>NC_000006.12:164313214-164464729 GCF_000001405.40 Homo sapiens | reverse complement strand
GGACAACATGGTGAAAGAAAAAGATGAGATCAGAGATTTCCATTCCCATCTCAAATGCCACATAAATAACCTAAGAGCTCTTATGTGTACCCTGAAGGAAACTTTCTTCTTTTCTGGTAGCAGGGCAGAAATCCCTAAAAACAAAATGCAGAACTTCATCTTGTGAGTGGCTGAATTACAACAGAAATTGAACTTCCAAATTCATAGCATGTCTATTATTAAAGTAAAGGCATTGATTGGGAAAAAAAAGTCCATCAATGATAAAGATTGTATAAGTCAAAATGGGGACATGTGGGACGATCCTGCTAGAGTTGTGATCATTGATCTCTAAATTCTGATGATTTTTCTTTGCCAATGCAGGTGGCCTCTCACCTTCAGTGGAATTGGCCTCCCCATGCCCAGAAGTGGTGGCCTTCCAAATTCCAGGTTAATCTTTCTCCTAGCCTTCACCAAAAGGACCTATGGCCTTTTAGTGGGATAATTGTACACTGAGGAACCGAAAATAATCAGACCTCTCCGAGACTACTTGACCCTGGCTCTGAACTGATACTGATTCTCGGACATGAAAAATGTTACTATGACCCACCAGTCAGAGTAGACACTTATGGAAGTCAGGTGATCAATGAAGTTTTATCTGTGGTCTGTCTCACAGTGGGTCCAGTGTATCCCTGAGCCCATTCTGTGGTTATTTCTCCAGTTTTGAAATGCATAATTGGAATAAAAATATTTAGTAACTTGCAGAATCTTCCTTTTAATCCAATGACCTCTGAAATGAGGCTAATATGGTAGGAAAGGCCAAGTAGAAGTCATAAGAACTGCCTCTGCCCAGGAAAATAATAAATAATGAGAATACTGCATCCCTAGAAGGATTGCAGAGATTAGTGTCACCATCAAGGACTCAAAAGATGCAGAGTTGATGATTTCCACCACATCTCCATTGACCTTTTCTATTTGGCCTGCACAGAAGATAGCTGAATCTTGGAGAATAACAGTGGAGTATTATAAGCTTAACTAGGGGACGGGTCCAGTTGCAGCTGCTATACTAGATGTGATTTCAATGCTTGAGCAAATTATTACAACTCCTGGTATCTGGTATGCTACTATTAGCCTTTCCCTACATGCAATAGTGCTTCAGCCAAAACTATCACCTATGAATTTGCATAATCGCTATCCATTGACATAGTATTCCACACAGTGTTGCTTCTGATCAAGGAACTCACTACACAGACTATACAGCAAAAGAAGGGTGTCAATAGGCCACACTATGAAATTCACTGGTATTACCATGTTGTCAACCATCCTGAAGCAGCTTGCTTTATGGAATGGTGGAATGACCATTTGAAGACTCAGCTAGGTGGCAATATTTTGTAGGACCGGGGCCATGTTCTCCAGAAGGCTATGTGTTCTTAATCATTGTCCAACATATCGTGGTATTTCTCTCATAGCCAAGACTCATGCGTTCAGGAATCAAGGGATAGAAATTTCAGTGACACCACTTACTATTATTCTTAATGACCCACCAGCAAATTTTTTGCTGCCTGTTCCCATGACTTCATGATCTGTTGGCCTAGAGGTAATAATTCCAGAGGAAAGAATGCTTTCTTCAAAAAACACAATGATTTTAATTCCATTGAACTGGAAATAAAGACTGCCACACAGCCACTTTGGGCTCCACATGACGCTGACTCAACAGACCAAAGGGGAGTTACAGTTTTGGCTGGGATGATTGCTTCTAACTTCCATTAGGAAACTGGACTAATAATCACAGAGGGACTAAAGAACAGAATGTCTCGAATATAGGAGATCCCTTAAGGTGTCTGTTAGTACTACCATGCCCTGTGATTAAGATCAGTGGAAAACTACAACAACACAATCCAGAAATTATGAATAATGACCCAGATCCTTCAAAATTGAAGGTTTGGATCACCTAGTCAGGTAAAAAAATCAAGACCAACTGAGGTGCTTGCTGAAAACAAAGGTAGTACAGAATGGGTAGGTGAAAAAGCAATGAGGATACAGACTGGGTAGTTACAAATACCAGCTATGGCCTTGAACAGTCACAGAAATAAGGACTGTAATTGTCATAAATATGTCTACATTATTTTGTTTTAAATGTCTATTTGCATATGTATATAATATATATAATGCTTTCTTTCCTCTTTTATTTCCTAACCATGTAATACGGATATATTAATTGTTTCATAGTATTTAGGTATTACAAATTTTACATTATAATATTTAATTTATGGGTTATCAAGAAAAACAGTAAACATCACTCAAGTGTTTTGCCTCTTCTCCTGGGAAAGGAGTTAATATTTTCGGTTGTGGGAAAGATAGTTGCACGACTTTGTTTTGTCCTTATGTAAGATTAAATGTGTCTTAAAAAGATGCCTGTGGGTGCCTAGTTGACAGGGGATTGGCTTATGATGATTAATTTGTATGTGTCAACTTAACTGGTCACAGGGGCTCAGATTAACATTATTTCTGGGTGTGTCTGTGAGGGTGTTTCTGCATGAGATGAACATTTGAATTGGTGTAATCAGTAAAGTAGATTGTCATCCCCAATATGGTGGGCATCATCCAATCTGTTGAGAGTTTGAAAGGAACCAAGAGGTAGTAGTAGCAGAAGGAAGAATTTGCCCCATTTATTGCTGACTTACTGCTTGAGCTGGACCTTTGATTTCATCTTCTCTGTTCCTTGAACAGGAATTTACAGTATTGACTCTTCTGGTCCTGAGGCCTTCAGACTTGGACTGAATTGCACTACTAGCTTTTCAGGTCTCCAGCTTCTGGTTGCAGATGATGGCAGCTTGTTGGTCTTCTAAGCCTTCATAACTGCACAAGCCAATTTCTTATATGTGTGAGCGTATATATATATACACGTATATATACCCAACTTGTTCTTTTTCTCTGCAGATCCCTGATCAATACACTGTAAAACCAAGGATTTACCAAGTACTTCTGGCTGTTGTATCTGCAGTTGTCTGCTGTGATGTGCCAATGCAGATTATACTCTTTTGATGAAGGATTTGTAGTAAATAAATAAATTGTTGGCATCAAAAAATTATTACTTTATCAATTTTGAAAAAAAAACTATTATAAAAATAGAAAAAGTGGAATACACTGGACCTCAATTTTTTCCTGACTTCTAAACTTTCAAGAGAATGAAGGACAGAAACATAATCTTTAAATGCTGACTTTATTGAAATGAACAGTATAAACAATGAACAATTTTAAGCATTTTATAGCAAATAATTTACTACCTAGTAGCTATTTCAACTTGATGTTTTTTTGTTGTTCAGGAAATAAGAAAAAGAAAGGTCACAAATACTGGGAAATTATCATTTGAATTTTTTATATTTTATTTTTTAAAAAAGAAATCTTATGGGTAACATATAGGTGTCAGAGTAGGTAATATTAAAAGCAATCGTGCTTTCGTATGGGCTAGAAATTCATTATTGTTTTTCTCATTTAAATTATCCTGTCATAGACTTCTACAATCTAAAAGTAGATTCACTATACAGTAGATATTTCTGAAAAAGTTAGATCCAGATAATTGGTTTCATTAGATTCTAGCCGTAGAATCTAATATTTTAATCATATTTAATCATTTCTATAACCATGCAGCCCAATTGCTCAAAATCAATCTTTGAATATATGAAATTCAGGAAAGGTTATGTGGGACATATAAATAGAAGTTGAAAGCTAGGCCACGCGCGGTGGCTCACGGCTGCAATCCCAGCACTTTGGGAGGCCGAGGCGGGTGGATTAAGACGTCAGGAGATCGAGACCAACCTGGCTCACACGGTGAAACCCCGTCTCTACTAAAAATACAAAAATAAATTAGCCATGTGTGGTGGCGGGCGCCTGTAGTCCCAGCTACTCGGGAGGCTGAGGCAGGAGAATGGTGTGAACCTGGGAGTCGGAGGTTGCAGTGAGCGGAGATCGCGCCACTGCACTCCAGCCTGGGAGAGAGAGCGAGACTCCACCTCAATTGAAAAAAAAAAAAAAAGTTGAAAGCTAAATTTATTTAAGTCTGGGTTTCCTATTATGTCTTCTTCTGAAGCAGATACTGAGGCAAATAAATAATGACTAATCCACACTCAGTTATTTTTTTCTTTTTTTGTTTTGTTTTGTTTCGTTTTTGAGACAAGGTCTCACTCTGTCACCAGGCTGGAGTGCAGTGGTGCGATCTCAGCTCACTGCAACCTCCACCTCCAGGGTTCAAGTGATTCTCATGCCTCAGCCACCCAAGTAGCTGGGATTAAAACAGGCGCCTGCTACCATGCCCGGCTAATTTTTGTACTTTTACTCCAGACGGGCTTTCACCATATTGGCCAGGCTGGTCTCGAACTCCTGACTTCAACTGATCCACCCACCTCGGCTTCCCAAAGTGCTGGGATTATAGGCATGAGCCATGGTGCCCAGCCCATGCTCTCGTTTTATAAGGACTGGCGATAAAAATGGATTGGTTGATTCTCAAGTGCTCTTAATGCAGTCATCAGTTCCTGGGGACTTCTTATCTAATTGAAGAGAAAGAATATTGAAGTAATAACAATTATTGTTACTTCAGGAAATATATGGTGCTTCTTTTACCCAGGGGATAATTGAGGTTCATATTATAGCTTCATTTTGAGAACAGTTAGATAAGAAGACATTAACATTTCCAGCTGTGCAACCTATGAGAACAAGGTTAACTCAATCTCAAAATTTAGTGCCCACTTAAGACTGAGGAAGACAATGAATTTGTCAGAAAGAAGATCAGAGAATTGTGTTTATGTATGAATGTTTTCACAAGGTACATATATCAAGACAGTGTCTTCCCAGAGATTTAGACACATGCATTTGGGGGAATTTATAGTTGTCTAGGGCAAACTGCTTGGTGAGATTCTTATAGATCAACGATAGCATATAACCATTAGTTTAACATTAGCGATTTTAAAGATATTTGCCAATAACCCAGGATAACAATGTTCTTTCATTCTAAAATAATTACTTTGAACCTGTGCTTCCTTTGGAATAACTGTTACTGTACTGCTTCTGAATAGGAGCCTATCACATTTCCTAATCTCTCTGATATATTTTCTATCATTCAGGTAATGCTTGCAATTGTTGTATGCAAAAGTATATCCTTATTTGGTAATTCACTGAATTAACTTCTTCAGATTACACATTTCAAAAACAGTAGCACTTTAAAATAAGATAGTATGACAAAGTAATGTGTAGACTTTCATAAGTATAAGAAATAAAATAGAAATGTAAAGATTTTTTTAAGACAGGAAAGAAAAATGTCCCCTCCTTCCATTAATTCCACTCCACGGTGGCAATCACAGGAAAATTCTTTGTGTATCTCTTTCTGGACTTCATGCTATTCTATTCATCCAACATTTTTTGCATAAATAGGATAGAGGCTGTACTGCAATCCATTTTGTCTTTTTGGTGTTTTGGGGGTGGCTGGTATGTTGTAGCTTTTGTGTTTTCTTTCACTTCAAAACAACTTTTGGACATATATTAGTGAATACTCACATAGGAATATTACATTTCATTTAGAGATCACTACAATACATTTTGAGTTATATTTTCTTCAGACTTATTTCCTTTACTATTGATATTTGGTCACTGATTACCTTTATGTTTTGTTCTGTTTATAGTTTCAGTATAGAAAATCTTTTAGTTCACATAGAATGGCTCTAATTCTGCAATTATGTCAATGCATAAAATTAAAGAGCCACATGTATCCTTATTCCCAGTTTGAAATGCAGTCCTCCTAGGAGGGTTCCATGAATGTCAGTTTACAGTGGATCTTCCAAGGTCATTTGAAAGAAAAGATATGATCAGAAATATAGAGGACTAACGCTCATAGCCCTGTCATTAAATTCTGTTTATGAGCTTAGGCTTTGACCATTTCATATGTAAATTAAAGGTATTGGACTAAAGGATTCCTAAAATTACATTATTCTATGAATGTGTTTCACAGAGCTAATCATTAATTTTCTGTCTCTTTTTAAGATAATTCTTTTGCAGATGGCTTTCTGTAGTGCTAGATTACATATAATTTTCTTTACAGAGGCACTGTTATGATTGAGCTGGGACATAATATTACTTATTCAAATACATAAATGTATTCAAAAATACATATGTGATAGAGATTTAGATTCATTTTCTTTACATTCAAAATGCTCTTATATTTCTAAAGTACTATAGGCTGTTGGCTTACTAGAGTATACTCTATATAAACCTAACTCTTCCTGGAAATAAGGTTAGTACGTCTTATGAAAAATAGTACTTAATCTTGTCAAAGTCACAGCTTGCCCTGCCACCTCCACTGTCTGTACTCAAACAGGTGATGGCTGAAATTCATTAATCCTGTCAGCAGCACTCAGGGTGCTCCCTTTTGCATCAGAATCCACCTGGCTCACAAGTCTGACACATTACTGAATTTGGAAAGATATTATATAAGTTGATTTGAAAGCAGTCAATATTATCCAATCTCTCATTATTTATCTATAGTCCACAGATTTTTGAGAGGCGTAATTAGTAAGATACCAAAAGATGAATTAGCAGTTCTTCTATTAGTTGTAGAGAGATATTCCAGGTATTCTTTCATTCAGTCATATTTTAGGATCTGGATAAATTTAAAAAATAAAATCATGAGTTTTGGCTTCCTTGAGGGTCTCCATTGGAATCAGGCAGAGACATCTTCATCTGCTATTGTTATTGCTTATCCAGTTATGTGCGGTGCCAGCTTGTAATTCCCACTGGCCAAGAATCAATGCACTGCATCTATTCTAGGTATCATGCCAGCTGTTCAAAGGATGGAATACATGATATATTAGCCAAGCAATGGTATGTTAAAAAAAGAACGGTTACTACAACAGCTTGGAAAAAGTGTTAAAACTGGTTTATCATGATAGTTCTAGTTTTTGAACAAAATATAATCTACCAAATGCAAATCAGGCTAGTCCTATGTTCAAAGCTCTTTAGCAAGTAGAGTTGCTGAGAGAATTTTGAATGAGTTATTATCCAGCTACAGAAGAGATTACAGTCAAGTAGCTTCAATGAAACTCATATTCAAAGAAATATGAGACAGTATTTTGTGATTCTATATAGAAAGTACTTAAAGAAATAATTTGTAACAGCAAAGTGAAGCCTCTGGATATCACACTGTGTCAGATGCCTGTAATTTAACACATTATGTAGGAAAGCATGTGTTTCAAATAATCTCTGATAAGAGAGAAACTTAAGCATCTCCTGTGTTTTAGTTATTGTATATTTGATTTTATTTATTTTGCATCATAGCATCAGTATAATAATGTCTTTGTACATCAGTAAACTGAAGGAAAACAGTGGAGAATCACTTTTTCTTGGAAAACTATCAAGAACCATCAACCCTAATTGCACCTTACTCCTCAAACCGTGAAAATAGGATGCTAACTGGAGACAGCTATGCATATCTAGTTGTTTTCTCATAATAGTAAATGAAGTATGCCTTTACATATCCATTATCTTTTTCTTCCAGAAGGACTTTTAATTCATTTTGTTCTGTAAAGAATATTTGTTAGAATATTAAATAATATTTACATATATTTATCATTCATATTCAAAAATTTTATTCTATAAAGTATCAAAGTTCAGCCCTTTGAAATGAACACTTTCATCAGTTTAGCACATGCCCTTGCTGGTCCAAATATAAATTCTTTTTAAAATCAAAGTAGAGTCTATATCTATAGATACATCTATATCTAGAAATAGATCTATATACTATCTAGACATAGATATGTATATCATGTATGCATATGTGTATATACATAGAGAGATAACATATGTAGCTCTATCTATATATGGATACCAATATATAGAGCTATCATATATAGCTATAGCTATAAATAGAGATATCAGTGATTGAAGGAATTTGAAAGTTTTCAAGGGAGTGAGAGTTTGTAGATACATGACTCAAAACAGGAGATTCCAATAGGAGTGAGCATGCTCTTTAAGGCAGATTTCCCCCTCAAACCACCATTTCTGAAATCAGATGCTATTAGGATGAGAAGCTGTCCAGAGACTGGAGCAGTTTCCAGTGGCTCGGAAGGCAAATATACTGTAATTCAGGGTTCACTAAGAATAATGTAATTTGTTACATAGCAGCAATAGAAAACTAACAAACCCAGTTATTATTAGGGTCTCTTAAGCACATTGCATACTCAGTAAATAGCAGCTGAATGAATGAGGAGCCTGGAATGAAGAATGAGACTCAACTAAGGATCTGAGGAATGGAAGTGTGCCGTGGCTCCGGGTCCAACATCTCCATGTATCAGTAGATATGAAACAAAAAAAAAAAGAACTCGTCTTCCTAAATAATGTTCTAGCTCAGGACTCATGCAGTCTGGCTGTGGTTCCCTTCTAAGGGAGCAGAACATAGTGGAGGGAGATCAGTTTCTCTATCTTCTTTCAAATAAAAAGACAAGGTCCGGGAAGGAGAGCAGGTGCATTGATCCAAGGGGCGCTGCTGGTCTCTCAGGCCAGCAGCGCACTGAGAGACAGGCTACAGCAAGTGCTGCATCCACCAAGCGGAGCCATGGGTGATGGTGTCAGAGGCAGCGTGGCAAAGGCTGTATGAGCAGCATCCCTGACTGGTCCAGACAATGCTAGAACTCAAAGACACCGACAGGCAAAGCAATCCTCTGACGGTTCTAAGCCCTGCAGTCTTCCGGTTTACTGGTGGGGCAGTACTGAGCAGGCAAAATGTGTGTCCAATGACTTTGTGATTTTATTGGTAGGAACGACATCTGTGGCCCCTTTTTACTTCTATAAAAAGGAAGAGGTGCGTTATGGATTGTATTATGTTCCCCCATATTAAAATCACTATGATTAATATAATTAAAAAACTCATAGGAAAGGTGAACAACGTGCCTAAAGAGATGGAAAAATATTATCAGAGGAAAAAAATTTTTTAAGGAAAAGAGTAAAATGGAAAAGCTAGATATAAAATTCTAAATAAAACACAATATCAAATACGACAAATATTTCTGTCAACTTAGTAGCAGACGAGATACAGCTAAATATGAATTAGTCAATTTAAAGATAGGTCAACAAATATTATCCAAATGTAAACAAAAAAAGTTAAGGCGAGACTTTTTTTAATGAAAAAATAGAAGAAAACAGTATCAAACAGCTCAGAGAAAATGACAAAGAATGTGACAGATGTATAATTAGAACATACTCCCCCCACCCCCCACCAAGGGAAATAAATGGAATGAACCATGAGTAATGAATAAAGAAGTAATAGCAGAACATTTCCAAAATAAATAAAAGACAACAAAGATAAAGTAAAAACAATCAGAAATGCAGCCAAAGAAAAAGAAAACACAACGTACAGATTAAAAATAAAATAATCACAGCTTAATGCTAATTTCAGATTACGCCAAGAAGTCAATGGAGCTGATATCTTGAAAGTATTGAAAATAAAACTAGCAACCAGTAATTCTTTACTCAGTGAAAACCTCCTTTACATAATTTGCAGAGACACTTCTAAGAAGAATTGAAATGAACACATAAAAACATGCTCAACATGGTTATTTTTACTTTACTTTTGATTTCTAAATTTTTTTTTTTTTTTTTTTTTAAGACGGAGTCGCTCTGTCACCCAAGCTGGTATACAGTGGCGCGATCTCGGCTCACTGCAAGCTCTGCCTCCCGGGTTCACGCCATTCTCCTGCCTCACCCTCCCGAGTAGCTGGGACTACAGGCACCTGCCACCATGCCCAGCTAATTTTTTCTATTTTTAGTAGAGACGGGGTTTCACTGTATTAGCCAGGATGATCTCAATCTCCTGACCTCGTGATCCATCCGCCTCAGCCTCCCAAAGTCCTGGGATTACAGGCGTGAGCCACCACGCCTGGCCTGATTTCTAAATTTTTAAATGATGTCTAGTTTTTTTCTTTTTGTAAATTTTTTCCTACTGTTCCTTTGGCTTGAGGATTTCTGAGCTTCTTGGATTTGCGGTTCGTTGCCTTTTATTTATTTTGAAAAATTTTTGGCTGTTTTGTCATATCTGATATTTTGTTTTATTTAGTAATCACAAAGAAAAAAAGGTCTTTATTTACAGGTAGTAAGTTCTTGTATATAGATAATTTTAACGAATCTGCCAAAAAAAGCTATTAGAACTCATAAGTAAATTTAGCAAGGCTGCAAGATGCAAGGTAAACATTCAATAATCATGTTCCCATAAATTAAAAAAAATTATTTTATAAAAACTATATTTAAAATACCTGCAAAAACATAAAACATTCAAGGATTTTTTAAAAATCAGAATATGTAAAGGCTATACACTGAAAACTAAATCAAACTGCTAAGAAAAATTTAAAAAGCCTAAATAAAGGCAGATAAATACCATGTTCATGGTTTGAAACCCTCAATAATTTTAACATTTTAAGTTTTTTATTCATTGCACTCGCAATCAAAACTCTGTTAGACTTATTTGTAGAAATTATCAAATGTATTATTTTCAAAGTATGTGGAATGAAAAAATAACCCAAGAAAAGGAGTTTGGGAGAAAAATAAAGCAAAGTTGGAGAATTTAAAATACTTGAATTCCAAAATAATTATAAAGTTTTAGTAATTAAAGCCTTGTGGTAAATTCGTATAAAGCAATAAAAAAAATCGAGTCTTAAAATAGATCCACATATGCATGATCAGCAGATTTTTTTAAGTGCCAAGCTCATTTAACGGAGTAAGGATAGTCTTCTCAACAAACAGTGTTGTACCAACTGGAAATCTATATAGGGAAAATACAAACTCTATTTGGCAAATGTAGGTAGCCAACAGAGACTTAAATATAAAAAGATAGTAGAATATGTATTGTGAATTGTTAGGAGAATACAAGAAAAAAAAAAAAGGAATGAAACTGAAATAAAACAAGAGCCACCTGACATTAAAATCTAGATTCTATCCTTGATACACCAAAGGAAGTTGGATAGAGCACTAAAATGTACCTCTTCAGTCGAAATTAAATATTCAACCTCAAAGTCAAGCTCTCAAATTTAAATGCTATCTAGCAAACCAATGTGGGTTAGAAGACTACATTTTGATGAACTCCCTTCGTTACATTTCTTCTCATCCATACAACTTTACTTGACTATTTTAGTCCTTTGCGTTGTTCCTCTATAACGGTTCAACACTTGAAATCTGTTGAGAAAAATGCAAGATACTACTCGAAAGCCTTTATTTCCAGAATATCCATGATCTTGTTCCCTTTCTCCTGGACATGAGCTGAACACCATAATTCCAGTAGGGACAAATAGGAAAGGGACAGTCTACACAACTTGGATTGATTCTGTTTGGTAAGTATGTATTAGCAGTTTTAGCCAATCTTTTTTTTTTTATTCCATTTTAATTTTAAAGTAAGTTTTAGGTCTTCTTTTTCAGCCAGGACATCTTCAATGGAAAGAGATTTTATTACAATTTTTTGAAACTCAGAGCCTGTTAAATTTTGTCTGTACTGTACGGGATTATTGATCCACTCGGTCAGTGTATTTTGCATTATATTCTAGCATCCATAATAGCACTTCCTACCAACTTCGTGTAGTTTATGTATCATATTACAAGTTTTGACAAAAATGGAAAGCAGTTCAAGGATTAAAACAGAACCCCCTGCTTACATAAGTGATTTTCCTCTAAATAAAAAATGACCCTTGAATCTACACTTTTTGCATATATTTGTTCAATCTGCTCTTTTAGCAACTCATATATATGTATTTTTCATTTGGTACACAAGGACATCATGAGGCATGGTGCTGAATGACTCAGTAAAATTAAGATAAATCATATCAGCAGCAGTATGGAAGTGTAAGTCACATAAATAATTCATACTGAAAATACTGCATTTTCTAATAGTTATTGTGGGATTTCCATAGTGAAATTCATATTATAAATATTAAAAGTGTTTCCATTTGCCTGGCTTTTGAAAACTTTGGGTAGTTTCCCTGACTTGTTACAGAACTATCCAAAGATACTAGAATTTTCTAATTATGTAACTTGGAATGAGCTGAAATTAATATGTGTTCAATTGTATGCACATTAGACAAATACTGAAAGGTTTTAGGTTTTAATTTTGTTATGAAATGTAAATAGCTGCCTTTAATACCTCCCAGGGATATGTTAATTGCTCTGTGGTAAACCTTGTAACCAGTTCTTCTTTTGTTTTGCCTCTTTTTCCAAACCCTTGTTCTGTTATTTTTAATAGAGTCTGGGTCTGAAGTCACTTCTAGGTTTTATTGGAAAGTGTCAACAATTTTACACTTTGGGCCTGAGTTTGTTTTTAAATAGTAATTTAATGTCTTTTGCTTCAAATAAATTGCTTCATATATTGTTGAGTCCTAAGATTGATTCTTGTTTTTCGTATTCATCAGCTACATTTTCATAACTGTAAGAATCTAGAACCACACTGTCAAATATGGTGGTCATTTAAACTAGTTAAATTTAAACTAGTTAAGATTAAATATTTAAATTTAAACTAGTTAAGATTAACTAAATTTAAAAATTCAGTCTCTAAGTTGTACTAGTCATATGTGAATAGTAGTCACTATATTGAAGATAATATTTACATTGACATAGAAAGTAATATTATAGGCCGGGTGTGCAGGCTCATGTCTGTAATCCCAGCACTTTGGGAGGGTGAGGCAGGTGAATCACATGAGGTCAGGAGTTCAAGACCAGCATGGCCAACATGGTGAAACTCCGTCTCTACTAAAAATACAAAAATTAGCTGGGCGGGGTGGCACATGCTTGTAATCCCAGCTACTTGGGAGGCTGAGGTAGGCGAATCACTTGAACCCAGGAAGTAGAGGTTGCAGTCAGCAAAGATCATGCCATTGCACTCCAGCCTTGGCAACAAGAGCAAAACTCTATCTCAAAAAATAAATAAATAAATAAAGTAATATTATACAGCACTGATAGTACATTCTGATATGTAGGAATGAATGGACTCAACTCCCATCTTATTTAATCATAAATTAATTGTATCAAATTTTTACCATTGGAGATACAATAGTCCCCTGCCCACTTATTTGAGGGTAATATATTCTAAGACCCCAGTGTATGCCTGAAACTGCAGATAGTACCAAATCCTAGATACACTATGATTTTCCTACACAATAATACACACAGTAAAATTTTCATCATGCTCCTCAGAACGGTGTGCCGTTTAAAACCTATGAATGTTTTTATTTCTTACATTTTTCATGTAATGTTTTTGGGCTATGGTTAAGTATGGTTAACTGAAACTGTGCAAAGCAAAACTGTAGATAAGGGGGTGGAGGACTGCTGCATATTTTTTATCTTCAGTCCTATCCTCTACATAATGCAATGAATGGTATGAAAGCAGAACTGGTTTCAAGTCAATATCTCCCACCTCTATAGTCCCTTAACCTGTCTGAGCATGACTTTTCTTTAAAGAATTAATATTATCTGCCCTGCCTATCTCAAAGGGCTCCCAACATGCCCCTAGTGTGCTGAATCACAAATAATAAGGAACAGTGATGCAGAACTGAAAGCTGGAAACAGGTAGACCTGGCACTAGACATACTGCAGGACCCACCAGGGTACTGACTCACAAAGCAGTTAGTTAACAGTACCACTTGACTTTCCACCTGGACCTGGCAAGTTCTTGATTTGTTATAGAATTTCTTCCTCAAAATGCCTGATCCTTTTCACTAAATAGGCCTCTCCAAGAAGAATAAATATGGCATTGTGATCTTGAGTGATCCATCTCTTTGGAGTAGACTCCACTTCATGCCTACGTGAAAGAAAAAGGGAAATCACAGAGTGTTGGAGCCATGCTCAAGTGCATCACTGCAAAGCAGCCCTCCTATTTTGTGGTGAGTCCTAACAGTGCAAGTCAGAAATTCACTCAAACCAGGAGCGATGGCTCATGCCCGTAATCCCAGCACTTTGGGAGGCTGAGGCGGGTGCATCACCTGAGGTCAGCAGTTCAAGACCAGCCTGACCAACGTGGTGAAACCTTGTCTCTACCCAAAATACAAAATTAGCCAGGAGTGGTGGCGCATGCCTGTAATCCCAGCTACTTGGGAGGCTGAGGCAGGAGAATCGCTTGAATCCTGGAGGCAGAGGTTGCAGTGAGCCAAGATCAGCCATTGCACTCTGGCCTGGGCAACAAGAGTAAAATTCCATTTCAAAAAAAAAAAAATAGAAAGAAAGAAAAGATAGAAATTCAGCCATGCAAATATCCAGAGAAAGTCAAAAATAGCTAGAAGAGGGGATGGCATTTCTGGAGACATGCAGTTCCCAGAATTACTCAGGCACATCAAGTTTGTTTCTCAAATGAAAGACGAGTTCACACTACTCCACCAAAGGTGGGTTTATCCTCATGATATAACACCAAATTGGTCAGAAGTGACTCAAAAACAAGGATGGGTTTAGGATATAGCAGAATAAGAAGTGTACTTCTACTTATACATTGGGGAAGCCATGGACTCACAAAGAAAATGTGAGCAATACTCTCAAGAAGTAAACTGTTATGTGAGGTTGTGTCCTAACTTCAGCCCAAGTATAATTTGAGGATCTCCCATCATTTTTGCTAGCATCAGGAGGCAACAGAGACCTAGAACACAGACTAGCATCAATGACCAGGTAGAACTCCGACCTCTTGATACTTCTCAACTGTGACTTCAGACAAATTTCCTTTTCTTTCAGTGACTCAATTTACTCAGCTGTACAATGGAGAAGATAGCTATAGCTCTTATTATAGGATTGCTGTGAGAAATAATGAGTTAAATGCTTAAAATGATATATGGTTGGGTTGTGCATGCTCCACTTTTCCTCTAAAATACAGGATTTTAATTTGCTGAGCATTTACTATGTGTAAGGCATTGTGCCAGAAACTGGTCATATCTGGTTGACTAAACCAGACAGAACACAAAGACTTAGGCAGCTTAGATTCTAGTGACATAAATAGATGACCTATTGCAAATCTGTGTGGCATGGGGGCTCTTCAGGTGAAGAGCAATTATGTTTCTTTCTTATCAATTGTATGAGAAAAGCAAGTTAACAAAGACTAAAGAATAAAAACATTTTCCAAACAAATAGTTATATGGAGTCATGTTGAATTAGGTTTTTTTCTTTGATTGTGTCCTTTTTTACAACTTTTTCCACTTTAGAGACAAGATTTTATGAAAAATATTTTATGGAAAACAATTGGAGAGGCAGAAAGTCTAACCAACATTATATACAAATAACATAAATGCTGATCCGTAACTGTCATTTTTCTTCACCACACTAAAGCACAGATGCGGAAACACCTCATTGTGTTTGTTTTTTTTTAAATCAGGAACAAAATATATTTATAGTTCTTGCTAACAGTAATTTAGTAAATAGCCATTGCATTTCTATTTCCTACTGGAAAGTTTAGTTTGGCACTGTGGATCCCAACTAAGTGATTCAAATGTAATACTTACACTTCAATAAAGGAAACAAATAAATTTACTAAGAGAGAAAAAGTGTTGTAAGGAGAAAAATGGTAGAGTAAGTTATTAACTGTATCACACTGGAAGAAATAGTGGAAGTGTCAGTATAAGTTCAGTAGAACAATAGGGAGGGGATACGAGTAGATGTACGAGTTCTGAACAAGGCATGAGGATATGAGAGCTTATGGTAGGATATGAGGATAAGAGAGCTCATGGCATATTCCGGGATCTGTGGAAATGCAATAAGCTTTGGAGACACAGATCCGTTTTGGAGAAACAGTGCTCAGCCTTGATGGCTCCAGGTATCAGGGGAGGCAATCTGGAAATCTACATTTTTATGAAACAACTCATCTGATTCTTATGGATAATAAATACATCTTGCTCTAAAAAGCATGAGGCATGTGAGAACCAAGATGGATAAAGAAATAGGAAGATAAATCAAAATTAATTTTGAATGACTCTTGATACCATCCTGGGAAGATTGGAGTTCAATCCCAAAGCAGGAGGGTGTCATAACAAATCTTTCAGAACTAAAATCACACACAAAATATAGTTTTTAAAAAGTACTCATTTGAATGTGGAGAGTGCACTGAAATTTGTGAGTTCCATCAGGAGTAGATTGGGGCAGATCGGGTGGAAGTTATTTAGAGCTTAGATTAGCTTGGTAACAATAGAAATGGAGAGAAGAGTTTATCTATTAGAATAAGACAGAAGGTGACTTTTGTTGGCTTAAATTGTAGGGGAATAGATTGAAAGTGTTTGGTTGTCCATAGTGGAGGTGACCCTACATTTTGTTCATTTATATGGATACAGATGCTCCTCAACTTACAATGGGGCTATGTCCCAATAAACCCATCATATTGGCCGGGTGTGGTGGCTCATGCCTGTAATCCCAGCAGTTTGGGAGGCCAAGATGGGTGGATTGCTTGACCTCAGGAGTTCAAGATTAGCCTGGACGACATGGTGAAATCCTGTCTCTACAAAAAATATAAAAATTAGCCAGGTGTGTTGGTGTGTGCCTGTGGTCCCAGCTACTCAGGAGGCTGAGATGGAAGGATCACTTGAGGCCAGGAGGTGGAGGCTGCAGTGAGCTGAGATGGGGTCACTGTACTGTAGCCTGGGTGACAGAGCAAGACCTTGTTTCAAAAAAAAAAAAAAAAAGTCCTAAGTTGAAAATATTGTAAGTTAAAAGTGCCCTTAGTACACTTAACCCACTGAACATTACAGCTTAGCCGAGCCTATCTTATTAACATGCTCATGACACTTACGTTAGCCTGCAGGTGGGCAAAATCATCTAACACAAAGCCTGCTTTATAATAAAGTGTTGAATAAATTACATAAATAATTTACATAATTCTGCACTGAAAGTGAAAAACAGGATGGTTGTATGGGTACTCAAAATACAATTTCTACTAAATGCATGTCTCTTCTACATCACCATGAAGCCCAAAAATCTTAAGTTGAACTATCGTAATTCAGAAGCTGTCCATATTTAGTGATTGACACAGGAAATATATCCATGTGTGTTTGCATTAATTAACAAGAAATTCATTACTTGATGTTTAATCAAAAAATACCTAGGACATATTTTCTAAAATGATTTTCAAAAAATTATGTTTGTGGGTTTTTATACATACACATGTGTGCACACGTGTGTCTAAATATGCAAATATATATATACACACATATGTATGGCAAAAAATCATTTAGAATTTTAATTAAAAAGATAATTTTACTACGTGACATTTTAGGATCTATAATATGCTGATATCCTTTATAGCGCTCCAAAAAATTGAACATTTATGATATTTTCCAAATATTTTGAATCTAAAATCTCCTTGCATCATGTGATCCACTGCAACCCACCTTGGGCAGCACTTAATCAGAATGACAAACTAATTTTTTTATGAACTTCTTTTATTATTGAGAACTTTCAAAGAAATGCACAATAATTCATTCATTAAACAATGAGTTTAACACATATATATTTTATACCTATTTTCTTCCAGGTGTTATTACATTATCTGGAGGTATAGTAGTAAAGAAAACAAAATAGCATATGACAAAGCAACTGGGAAATTTAACTGGAAGCAGATCGACCACTGTTTGTGTTTCTCTAATTCAAATTTAGGGGACTTGGATTATGATTATTCAGGTAATCCTCAAAGAGTAAATCCAATGAAAGAATTTCTTAATAATAAATGCGTGATAAAAACATTTTAATCTCTTGTGACTGAGCAATTCACTCACTTCTTCCCACATGCGAAGATGATATTAGCATAGTGTAAGGAAATGTTGTGATTTTCCAAATAGTAAACAACCTGCAATGATTTACGCATCTGTAAATTAAACAATTTAAAAAATCAAACTTACCATGTAATATAGTGCTATGAAGTTAAAAAAGATCATTTTTTAAACTCTGACTACTATAACTTGTCCTGTGCTGGTGTATAAATAGAAAAGAGAGACAGCTAGGTCAATTATTAAAATAAAGAAAAAGACTAAGTGTCATAGGAGAAAGAAAATAAAGTGCAATGGGATGGCTGGTTCAAGACAAGGCAGTAAGCCAAAAGAAACAGAAACCTCGTAGATATTAGAGATATTCAAAGAAATGTATATAAAAACATATATTTATTGTTGAGCAAGTGATATGAGCTAAAGAAGAAATAAAATCAACTAATAAATGTGAAAATAGGCTTAATCTTACTTCTTAATAAAAATAAATCTGAAACAAAACAGTCAGAGTCCAGAGAAATGCAAATATTGCAGAGTTGTATTAGTTGGGGGTCTCTAGAGAAACAGAGATGGTGAGAGCTATATTACACAAATTGACTCCCATGATCATATATTTATATGATTTTGGAGGCCAAGAGGTACTATAACATGTTGTCTGCAAGCTGGAGACCCAGGAAAGCTGGTGATGTAATTCAGTCTGAGGCCAAAGGCCTAAGAACTGAGGGGCACCTGTGGTTTAAGTCTGTGATTCTGATATCACTAGTAGGAGCTTCAGTGTCTGAGCGCAGAAGAGGAGCAGAGCTCAAGGAGAAAGAATTCGCCCATCCTCCCTCTGCTTTTTGATTCTATTTGGGCCCTCAATGGATTGGATGCTTTCCACCCACACTGGTGAGGGCGAATCTTCTTTACTCAGCCTCCTCATTCAAATGCTCATCTCTTCCAGAAAAACCCCCACAGAATCATACAGAAATAATGTTTTACAAGACATCTGTGCATTCCTTAGCCCAGTCAAGTTGACACATAAAATTAACAATCTCAGAGTTTAATTTGGAAAGATGTTTCAAGAATTAGAAAAATTATCCAGTACTTTGATCCAACAACCCTGTGACATTAGGGTATGCTACTTGCTCCCCAGCTTCTATTCTCCCCTTCACTTGCCCAAACACTACCAGCACCCCAGTTTAAACTGTGGCCACCCATCCAGAGACTGCATTCCTGTGGCTGCATGAGACCATAAAACTAAATTCTGGCCAGTTGGCTGGGAATGGAAATGGCATATGAAATTTAAGGAACAAACTCTTTGAAAAGAAAGATTTGTGTCCTTCATTCCTTCTTTCCCTGTAGCTTGATGACAAATAAAGCAGCCAACATGGACATAGAGAAGGAAAACTTGGATTATCTCACCTACCTTAGTCTCCCTGAGACTGCTCTATTATCTGAGAGAGAAATGAATGTTTAATTCATATAAGCCACTTGTATTTTGTGCATTTTTTACATAAATTTAATCAATACCCTAACTAATGCAACTTCCTTGAAGGTTGAAGAATATATTGAAAGAAAAAAAATAATTAAAAGTATTGACAACAGCATTAGTATAATAGTAAAATTTGGGGAACTGGGAAAGTTGAGTCAAATAATAAAAGAACAGTGAAAAATTACATTATTTCCGTATAATAAAACATTAAAAAGTTGAGATTTTTAACATTGAAAACATAATTACATAATTAAATGCTCAGCATAATATAAAGGGTAATTCAAATAAAACTATACAAAATACGTTCTCATTTAACCTTGTTCAAAGGTTCTTGGAAACTGGGACTTTACACAAACTGATGTATAACAAAACCAATTTTTTTCTCATAGTTGTTAGAACAAAGCAATGTTGAAGGAAACAATGTTATTTGCGGACCTGCTGTACATCTTTCACTTAAAGTCACACTTTCTAAGAACCTATGGTCAACATTAAATGAGGACTTACTGTACTCATTATAATCCATACTTTATAAAAGAATCATGCATGCACTTTACAAATGATTTATAAGATTGGAAGATAATCTACTATCTGAGTCTATGTCTACTGCTATAAAAAATACCTTAAACTGTATTATTTATAAACAACAGAAATGTATTGCTTAGAGTTCTGGAGGCTGGAAATTCCAAAATCAAGCTGCCAGCAGATGTGGTATCTGTGAAGGCTGGCTCCTCATAGGTGCTGCCTTCTTGCTGTGTCCCTTGCATGGCAGAAATGAAGATGGGCCAAGTAGGCTCCCTTAAGCCTTTTATGAGCCACTAAGGTATTTGTAAGGTGCTTATAAAGGTGTGCAGAGCCCTCATGACCTAATCACCTCCTAAATGTCCCATCTTTTAATACTATGGCATTGAGTATTAGGTTACAACATATGAATTTCCAGGGAACACCAACTTTTAGACCATAGCATTCTGTCCCTGGACCCCCAAAATTTATGTCCTTCTCACATGCAAAATACATTCATTTTATCCGATTAGCCCAAAAAGTCTTAACCTGTTCCAGCACCAACCACAGGTTTAAAGTTCAAAATCTCATTTAAATCAGATATGGGTGAAATTCATGATGTAATTCATTCTGAGGCAAATCCTCCTCCAGCTGTGCGTCTGTGAAAGCAAGTACATTATGTGCTTCCAAAATGGTGGGACAGGCATAGAATAAATATTTTCATTCCAAAGGGAAAAAATAGGAAGAAAGAAAGGGATAACTAGCCCTAAGCAATTCCAAAATCTAATATAGTGAACAACATTAAATCTTAAAGCTTGAGAATAACCTTCTTTGCTGATGTGTGCCACCTTTAGGACTCATTGCGGAAGGGTAGGCCCCCAAGGCTGTAGGAAGTCACACCCCATGGCTCCACTGGACACTGTCCTAGAGTGGACTCTCTGCAGTGGTCTTGCCCCCAGGGCTCCAGTGGGAAATACCCTAGCAGGGAATCTCTGTAGTAGCCCAGGTGCTGTGGCCTTTCTCTGCCTGGGCCCTGAGGCTCTGTGGGATATCCTTTGAAATGTACGTGGAGGCAGCTGTGCCCCTACAGCTGTGCACTCTACACACCGGTGGAGAAGGCATCTTGCAGCCACTGCCAAGGTTTATCACCTATGCTCTCTTGAAGGGCTGCCACTGCACACTGTGCTGCACCTGGGCCCACAGCAGCTACATGTGGGGCAAGAGAGAAGTGCTGCCCTGGAATTCCATAAGCAGAGGCTTGGGTGAGGTCCCCAGGGCCGAAGTTCCTCTTTTGACATTGCCCTGTTCCCTAGACCTTGACCCTCTGGGCCTATGATGGAAATGGCAGTGCTGATAATCTCCAAAATGCCTTTGGGGTCATTCTTTCCCATTTTATTGATGAATAACACCTGGCTTCCAATGATCCATGCTAATCTCCTTGTCAAATGATTGCTTGGCCACACCTTTGGTGTTCTCCACCAAACACACTTTTTCACCCTTTACAACATGGCCAGGCTAAGAATTTTCTTAATCTTTAAATTAAGATTTAAAGATTAATCTTATGGTTATAAGTTTCATCCGTATTTCTGTCTTCTCACATTTTACCATAAGCAGTAAGAGAAGCCATGCTGCACCGTCAACATTTTGCTTAAATATTTCATCCACCAAATAACTGATTTCATGGCTCATCAGTTTCTCCTTCCACAAAACACTAGAACACAGACACAATTAAGCCAAGTATTTTGCCACTTTATAAAGGGGACCTTTCCTCCAGTTTCCTATAACATGTTCTTTATTTATCTCATCAGAATGGCCTTTACCATCCATATCTTTACCAACATCCTGATCAGGACCACTTAGGTAATCTCTAAGAAGACTTAACCTGTCTTTACACGAGGGGGTCCAATATGTTGGCTTCCCTGGGCCACATTGGAAGAAAAAGAATTGTCTTGAGCCACACATGAAATACGCTAGACACTAACGATAGCTGATTAGCTAAAAATAAATTGCAAAAAAAATTTCATAATATTTCTGAAAGTTTACAAATTTGTCTTGGGCCACATTCAAAGCCATCCTGGGCCACATGTGGCCAGCAGGCCATGCATTGGACAAGCTTGTTCTACACCCTCATCTTCTTCTGAGCTCCCACGAGAATCATCCTTTATAGTTTCTTCACAACAATATGGGCTTGTCCCAGCATGCACTTCAAAACTCTTCCAGTATCTACCTATTACCCAACTCTGAAGCCACTTCCACATTTTTAGGTACATATTACAGCAGCACCCCACTCTTGGTACCAATTTCTATCATAGTCTGTTCCTGCTGCTGTAACAAAATACCTTAGACTGTATAATTTATAAACAACAGAAATGTATTGCTCACAGTTCTGGAGGCTAGTAAGTTCAAGATTAAGGCACTAGCTGATTTGGTGTCTGGTGAGGGCCTGTTCCTCACCAGCACCTTGCTTCTGCGTCCTCATATGAATGGGAGAGAAGAGGGGTGTGAAGGCTGTGTCATGTAATGAAAGGAAGGGGAAGGAGCAAGCAGGTTCCCTCAAGCTTTTTATAAGGAACACTAATTCCATTTGTGAGGGCAGAGCCCTCATGACCAAATTACCAAACGACCCATCTCTTAATACTACTGCATGGAGTAGCAGGTTCCAACATATGAGCCTTAGGGGGACAAAAACATTCAGCTATAGAACCTGCCAAAATATTAAAATGGATTAGGTGGAGGTGATGGGACATTGGGATCTTTATCTTTCCATTCATTCTTCTCTTTATTTTCTATATTTCTTTGAATAAACTTGCATTTTTTTACAATAAGTAATGTAATTCTTACAGTCTTTCTCTATGTCCTGTAGTTAATAAAATACAAAGGATACAAATAATATGCCGAAGAGCTAGCCCAGTGGAGCCAGTTAAGGGAGTGAACTATTTTTGTTTAGTTAAATATCAGAATTGGCCATGAGCTGGATGCACTGGGATTGAGAGGAAGAGAAATTGAAACTGCTGTGCATAATAACTGGCCAGGACATGGTGGATTTGGGAGTTGACAGGTCTTGGGAAGTAACAGGGGGAGATCCAAAAAGGAAGAAATGGGAATTAGCCACATGGTGGGAGGCTGGGTCTGTAATGAGGAGCAATGAGCAACTTACTTCAAGCATGAAGCAAAAAAGACATCTGGGATGCAGGGCCCATTATTACTTGCCATGGTTGTGCTGAGCTGCAGTGCATACCAGCCCATCCCAAGCCAGCTCACCTCTCACCATGGCACTGGTGACACTTCAGCCACTGCAATGGTGTTCTGCTGCCGATGACTCATGAAAAATGGTCAGCATATACAGGAGATGAAATGCAAATTCCATATACGCAGAAAATCAGAAACACAGATGGCTAGGAGAAATTCAAATTCTTCCACTCCCCCATCCACTGTCAGCCCCTGCCTGTAATCATGCAAAAATGAGAAGGATTTTCCTCTCTCCATCAGAGGATAATGGCGGGCTACTTGTAAAGAATAGGCATGGGGCTTACCTACCTTTTAAAGTATGCACCGACCCTGCAAAATGGATTTGGAGACCATCAAGAGATTGGTATGTCAAAAACAGTTCTTATAAATATATCCTCAGCACCAACTATGAATTAGGTCTTGTGCCAAGGACCACAGTCACAAAACGGAAGTGTAAAACATTTTCTCTGAACAAGTTACTTACAGACTAGCAAAGCCAATAAACACTACATTCTGAAAATGATTAGAACACATTTAAGTGCTCTGCTTCCACATATAAAGAATGGCTTTTCAGTTGCAGAGGCAAATCTGTAGTACTACCCACCTGGAAACAGGGACAAAAGTATTTTAAATGCAGCAGAGTACCAGTTACATGAGCTGACTTCAGAATATATTTCTTGAAAGTCTTAAAATGTAATTTCTTTTCTTAAGGTTACCTACACCTTTCTCTTAATTTAGCTTTCTTTTTGCCACGTCTGGTAATTTGCTCACATGCTGAATTTCTGCTAGAAATATCAGTCTATTCTGTAATTTTCTATTACACAAGCTGGAGTTGGGGGCTCTTTTACACATTCCCTGCAAGCTACAGATGCAAATTACATCCTCCTCTCCACCAAGGTTCTGTGGAGCTCATTGTCACTTGGGAGGCTGGAGCTGAGGAGCCACCTCAGGCTCTCCTGGGCACCTAGCTCAGAGGATGCACCATCCAGGGCCTCTGGAAAGAAGGGGAGGACACTGAGCATTCAGGGCAGCAGTAACACTTAGTCTATTTGATTGCAGCCGTCAACCCTGTGGCAGGTTTCAAATGGAAGGAGACTGATGGTAAGGATAAGGAGGACTACTTCAAATGGAAAGTCTCTTTTCATTAAAAGGTAGTACAGTGTGCAGAAGGGCCGAGCAGCAAAGGGTACTCTCGACTGGTTTAATGTGCACATCATCTATTACTCTGCTTCCTTCATTCCTAGATGGTAATAAGAAGAGAAAATGGCATCGATGAAGCAATCCTTCCCATGATAATAGAAATGGTATCTGAGAATGGTTATAAGATTCACTTTCTCGATAGGGAATAGGGAGACACATTTTGTTATTCTTATTTTACTAAAATGATGTAACATTTTAACCTGTAGTAACTTTTTTAAGTTTGGATAAAATACTTGTTCTATATTAAATTTGCAGAGTAAGAGTGAGTTAATTAATATAATCAGAGACAGAGAGAGAGAGAGAGCACCGCCAGCTCTTATTACTCAGGGGCCAGCTAAGTCAGGAAAAAAGTTTCTAATAAAATTCAATCAAATGTTGCATTCACTAGTTAATTACCTAAAAATAGAGTTTCTGAGATGAAAAATCGGGCTGTTTCAATGAAATTTAGCTTCACAGAGAGACAAAAAAAGACTAAAAATAGAAGAATAAAAAAGAAAAAGTTATTTTTTCTAAACATTGTGACAGTATCAGCTCAGGGGTTAGATCCAGACAGGGAGTCTTTACAGCTCTAATCAGCTTGCTACCAATTGCTGCATTTAAGTATTTCTATATTTTTTAGGAATTATTATTGAGAAGTAAAGATATTGATAATTTTTCTGGGTATTTACAAAAAGTTCTCCTCTGACGCAGAATATCAGTGTGTCTGGATCCACCGTGATGTGCCTCCAGCTCATTACAAGTCATTAACTTATAAAAACAAATATTTGGGAATAATTGCTGTATTTTCCTATACATTAGAGCATATTCAAATTTTAAAATTATCTCACACACATGCTGAGAAACTTCCTGAAATGGGAGAAAACAGGTAAAGTCAGTCCCAAGGTAGCCAGGAATTGCCCAGAGCCACCCCCGTCGCACCCCTGACCCTCCCTAGCTGACATTGTTTATCATTCCACATGTGATACGGACCAAAGGCTTCCTCACAAGTGCTGCTGAAGGAAGAATAGAAGCTGTTATTGCATGTAATTTATTTGTTTTGATACTGATTCTTTCCGAATTCTTTTCCCTGCATTCATCTGTAGTGACCACATGGGAAAGCTCTCTGCAACGGGAAAGAGTCATATCCTAAACTTCACACTTTCTAGCAATCTAGGACACATAAAGAGGTTGCTAAATGGAAAGCCTCTCATTGCTGAAATCCATAGGACATACAAATATTTATTGAGTGTGTGATATGCAATGTGTGTTATACAATCTGCTAAGCCCTGGGTGTACATCAATTTTAGCCAAAAAGGTGATCCCTGGCACTTGCAACACTTTTTGTGTTGTAGTGGAGACAGACTAAAACAAGCAGGCAGACAAAAATAAAAGTATAGCCCAATTAATACATTAGCACACATTCTGATAAGTGTTAACAGAGGAACACAATGGATATGAAGAAGGGAAGGAATTTAGTGGCTTGGGCAGGCTTCTCCAGAAAGTGACTCTTTATAAAGCGTGAGTTGTCTGTGAGACAATCAAAGGGAGATTGTCAAGTAGAGAACTGAATTGAACACACAACTATGGAATCCTCGACATATAAATATTGACACAAAGTCATATGAATATGACCACCAAGAGATTAAAAAATAAAAACGGCAGAGAATAAGACCATGATTAAGCTCTATGAAATTTTATCGGTATACGACAGGTAGAGAAATTAGAATTGGCAGGCAAGAATGAGATAAGAACACCGAGAACAGTAAAAGTAAAAATAGGGGACTGTGATTTCATGAAAGCCAAGATAAGATTGGGTTTCTGAGCGGGAGGACTGCTCAGATCAATTCGGCCAAGAGAACAAATTAAAGTTGGTCAGACCACACCATTTCATTGGGTCACATGACATTGCAGTGATCCTAACAAGAATGGTATCAGTGGATGTGTGTGTGTGTGTGTGTGTGTGTGTTTGGGAGTTGATGGGATGAGGGTTGAGTAGAGAAAGTAAGCATAGAAAATCATTTCTGGATGTTTAATTGTGAAAAGGTACAAAACAATGGATCGTGGCTGCATATGGACTTGGTCAGAGGGAAGAAACATTATTTAAGTTGGAACATGCCACAACTTATCTATATGATAGTAATGATTCCACAGAGATGTAGAAACTGATGATGTCAGAAATACAGGGGTACACTGAAGCTGGGAAGCCCTTTGGGAGTTTGTGGAGATGAGGGTGCGGCACAGCTGCAGGGTTGGATCTCATGTAAGAGGAGTGATGCCTCGCTTAAGGAGTGGCTGAAAGGAAAAGCTCAGTGCAGAGGCTGAGGCCATGCCATTTTATAGGTGGAAATATGAGAGTTTTCATCTGGAGGCTGCTATTTGTCTACTGAACTTGTTGGGTTCTGTTGGATGTAAGTTTTGAGGCTTGAAGATGTAGTGAGAGACGGTCATTGCAGCATATGGGGGCACAAAAATTTGAAGCTTATTGGATGTTTGGTGAGTGGAGTTGAGTTCCCACTTCAGATTAGGGGTCATAAATTACAGCCATATTCATGTGCATAAATGCTGAGTTTTCTTCACAATGATATATATGCCAAAAAAGCGAATGTTTGGTTTTATCAGTAGGAGAAAATCTTTACAAGACAAAAAGTAAACAATAAAAAAAGGTCTGACAGGAATCTTGCAATTAACCAAAAAGTCAACATCTACATTTTACAGTCAAGAATAAAATAGAGATATTTTATTTTAAAAGACAAAATAGTAAAAAATAAAAAATGACTGACAGGAATCTTGCAATTAAGTGAAAAATCAAAATACCTTTTGCAGACAAAGAATAAAATCAGTATTTTGCAGAAGTTTGCACATCCAATGAATGGCAGAAGTGCAGCTAGAGCCTAGCTTCAATCTTGCTTTGGGTGCACTGTTCATTTCAGGGACAGGGAGAGGGTCTTATCTATAAAGGAATGGGAGAGAAACAGGGAAACAATATCAGTCATACCTAGTTGTTTGTGGAAAAAATAAACATTGGATGGAGACACAAAGAGGAAAATCAGTGGAAAACTTGAGGCATTTTCTCATAAAACTGAATGAATGGGTCAAAAAGAAGCTGATTTTTAAGATGATTGAAGTAAGTTAAGAAACGAGCCCTTTCTATAGACCGGACTAGCATGTAGCTGAAAGTTTTTTTCCCCGTGACAGGTCTCATGTAAATTCATCTTTCCCCTTATAAGTTGAGCTGAAATAGCAATAGCTGGAATAGCAGTGGGGTGCAAAGTTTGATAGTTTTTTTCCACTGGATGAACAGAAGAGATTCAGAGAGATTTTACGCACCACGTTTATTCTAAGTATCTCTGGAGCTGAAGTCCACCCAGATATTTATGCTTCTAAATTCTACTTCAGGAGAAGGCAGAGTAAGTCTGTGGCTTTTAGATATGAGGCCTAAAGTTAACTGATTAGGAATGGCTACAGTGACTGATTTGACCCACTGACTAATCAGCAGGAACAGGGAGTTGAATAATTACTTGTACTGTGCTGTGAACTGAGAAGAAAATCTTCAGGCTGTGCAGAGTTGAATCTATTCAACTCAAGCCTTTCACCTGCCTAATGGACCTTTCCTCTTAAATGCCGTGTTCCCACTTAGGAACGACTCTACAGACACGTGTGATACCTTCCTCTCCACACCCCACTCCCCACTTCCAGGTGCTCCTTCCTAATTTCACACTTACTGTCATCAGTACCATCTTTCTCCAAGTCTCCCAAATGTGCAACTTTCAAATGTTAGCCATTGTATCCAACACCACTTCCCCAGGGGATTAGCCTAATATCACGTTACTTCTTTCTATGTCTTTTTTCCTTAACATTCTCCATTTCTTTTTTCTTCCTACATAAAAACTTTTAATTCATGTCTGCTTAATCATCCAATTCTCTCCATCATATCCTACATAGGTGGCAATACTGGCATTATTTTTCATTTCGTCATGCTACTTGTGTATCTCAAAAACCCTCAGGATATCCCCAACTACACAGGGTAGAATTGAATTTTCTTAAACTAGAATGTAAGGTCTCCTCTACTTCCATTTCCAAACTGGCATTCTACTATCTCCAAAAAGAACATTCTGATCAGGCCAGACCTGTTTTCCTATCCATAGAACATGCTGTATGCTTTTTCACTTTCATTGTGATGCCTTTCTCCTGGCAGAATTTCCTCTCCTAGTCTTCCCTGTTGACTCAAATCTTACCCAACACTTGAGGCTGGACTCAAGTTCCAACTCCTATGTGAGACCTTTTCTGAACACTACAGTCAGTAGGGTCTCTTCTGCCTCTGATTTTTTGTAGCAGATGTAGTATGTTTCTTTTATATAACATTTTCTCATCTTATGCCTTTATTAATTTTCATTATATGTACAGCTTTTTAAACTAGATTTTGAACTAACTAGTAATTGCAATTTTATAACTTTCACAGAATTTAATGCACAAGATAAATGTTAAAAGCATGCTCATATTTTGAGAAGCCACAGGAGTCGCCCTTTGTAATATATAATTGAGATTGGAGCTTGAGTCTCAACAGGAAAAGTAACAGCGAAAACTACAGTCGCTTGCCAAAAAAAGAAAAAAAAAAGAGAGAGAGATTTCAGAGGAAACTATCTCAAGTGAGATATCAACATGTTAAGTCATTTCTTGATATTGATATTTCTACAAGCTTTTGCTTTTCAGACTTACATTTTCAGTGCATCATAAGAAAGGGTAAGGTCGTTTTGTTTTTTCCTGGTAGATCTGGGGGAAAACACTTTACATAAAATATGACTGGGACTTCATAAATTCTCAAAAAGTTGCAAGGGTAAGTTCACCTAAACTCTCCAAACCAGTACTGTGAGCTAAAGATGGCAT
The DNA here is from genome assembly GCF_000001405.40 of Homo sapiens. Taxonomy (NCBI): domain Eukaryota; kingdom Metazoa; phylum Chordata; class Mammalia; order Primates; family Hominidae; genus Homo; species Homo sapiens. The sequence continues at coordinate 164,435,752 of NC_000006.12, read as the reverse complement.
ATGCTATAAAGGAAAACTTTGCAAACTTTTGCAAAAAGTTCAACAGTTGCCACACACACAAAAAAAATACAGGAAAGAGTAAAACTTAGAAAATTGAGAGGATGAATCCAATCATTTTGGACCTTAGGTTTCATGTTAACAATCAGAATGTTTAGCAGAACTCAGCTTTCATAAGTTAATGGAATGTCTCATGGTCATTGTGATGAAAATTACTATATCTATGAGTCTTAATTGTAGTGCACTAGAACTGAATAAATATCCTGCATAATATTATGCTTGAAATGTTATGCACACAGGCTTAATTCATGGGATGTTAAAATCTTACTGAACTAAATCTTGTGTATGAGAGTTTAAAACAAACTCAAAAACCTCAGGCAGTATATTAATAAATGTTAGCAATATTCTTTCCACAGCTAAGTACAGTTTGCTATAATTAATATTTATGATCCTAAATAACTAAAAATTTTGTTTTCTTTTATTTTCCATATGCACTCTGATTTTAAAATATAATTCTAATAATTCTTTCTCTGCTAGGAGACATTCTATGAGCATGTGTTAATTCTTTTCAATTCTGCATCTCATATGAGTTTCTTGACTGTGTTAGTTTGGTTGACTGATGACATACACACATCATGTGTAATAACCAAACTTTTTCTTATATAGAAGATATGGCCAGAAGAGTTAAAATAGAATTTCTTAAATAACTATAAACATGAAATATCCAAAATTATTTTTATGGAGTATAGTATTTTAAATAACTAGGAGAAGAGGATATGAAAATATTTGAGTCATTCATAATTAGTTCAAAGTGAATTAAATATTTGAAATATAGAATTCAAATGACCATAGCCTCACAGCTTAGACACTTCCAAAAGAGGCCTCACAAATACAAGGCAGCTTGTATAACATATTTAGGAAACATCAAGCTCTTTATAGAAGGTTCTAAAGGGAGGTGGTATGATGCAGATGGAAGTGAATCATCTAATTGATAGTAAATTATAGGAAAAGGACGTCAGAAAGGATGACTGAAAAATCTAAATTTATCGTGTTCTTCAAATCATTGCTTCAAGTCAGTGCTTCTGCTCCACATTTAACAAACGTGGGAATGAAACCAACATGGCTTCGTAATATTGAGATCTTTTACTTCAACTGCAGAGTATATGGTACGAGACCTTAAAACAATCAAGTTATTGTTTTATTGCTTCCTCTGAAAGTAAACATTATATTTAGAGCTAGAAATTGAAGTATATCGCAAAAGGACCAAGACATTCTTCATCAACATTCAGCCTTGGCCAAGTTTTGACTACGTTTCACCTAACAGTTGCAGTGTCTAACTTCAGCAGTCCGTGGAAATTGTTTTAAAAATCTTGAAATATTTGCTATCTAATATTACCCCAGTAGATTTCAGAGATTAACTCCCTACCATCAGTAGAAGATACAGGTCAGTATATGGTAGAAAAGAGAAATGCTGGTGTCATTACATAAACATATGCTTGAAGACTTTCTGAGTGCTGAGTCCTCAAAAAATCAAACAAGCAAGCAATACAACAACAAAAAAACCACTTGAAGAAATACGGTTATTCATCATTTGTAAAGCTTTTGAGATGAACAAAATGTGGTTTGTTTCAGCTGCTTCCAAGTTAATTGGGGGCCCAGTACTACCACTGCTTTCCAAAGAATCTGTGGATGGCCCTCTGGCCAGGTTCTCCCTGACACTGCGGCCAAGAGATTCCGCTGCCCTCAGAAGGCTTTCTATTCCTATAAACAATGATAATTCTCTCCTATATTTCAAAAGCATTTTTCAGACTTATCAGCCTTCATTGATCTCATAATATTGATTGTAGACCATATATATGTTCTCCATGGTCCCTGGTTTGCCTTTATACTTTCAGAGTGACTTTTTTTCATACTTCTTGGCTTTTCAAATTTCTCCCACCCCAACTCCCTGTTACTACATTTTGACTTACACTTACTTGAAAAAATAGAAAATACAATATTCGGCATTAGTCTGAATGTTTATGTCCCCTCAAAATTCGGATGGTAAAATCCTAACACTGGCTGGACGCAGTGGCTCACACCTGTAATCCCAGCATTTTGGGAGGCCGAGGCAGGTGGATCACTTGAGCCCAGGAGTTTGAGACCAGCCTGACCAACATGGCAAAACCCTGTCTCTACTAAAAACACAAAAATTAGCTGGATGTGGTGGCACATGCCTGTAGTCCCAGCTACTTGGGAGGCTGAGGCACGAGAATAGCTTGAACACAGAAAGTGGATGTTGCAGTGAGCCAAGACGGCGCCACTGCACTCCAGCCTGGGTGACAGAGCAAAACCCTGTCTCAAAAAAATAATAATAATAAAAATAAAAATCCTAACCCTCAAAGTAGTGGTATTAGGAGGTATGGCCTTCAGGAAATAATTAGGTCATGAAAACAGAGCCTTCATAAATGGAACTGGTGCCCTTACAAAAGAGGCCTGAAAGAGACCCCTTGTCTCTTTGACCATGCAAAGACTGAGTAAAAAGCCATCCATCGACTACTAAGCATGTCCTCACTAGACATCAAATTCACCAATGCCTTGATCTTGAACTTTACAGCCTCCAGAACTATGAGATGTATATTTCTGTGGTTCATGAGCTACACAGTTTATGATATTTTCCTATAGTGGCTTGAATAGACTGCAACACATCCCTTCATCTTTAAATCAACAAATCATGAATTCATCTGCATCTGAAACTATTTTTTCTTCCCTTCCTCTTGGAGCTATGAAGGAATTCTTTCCATTAAAGCTTATCTTTGCAAATGCCCAGTAGATCCCATCCCCTTCACCTGATTACTGCCTTTCTTTCTTTGGTTTTGCACTCTGTTTTATGCATCATCAATTTCTATCTCTCCTCTAGATATATTTTCCTCAGTGTACATCATATAGGCTTTAATTTTCCATCTTAAAAACATTTAATAAATAATCTCTCCCTTGAGTCTAACATCTGTCAAGCTACCTACCTCCTTCTTATAACTGAACTATCCACATTTGTTGTATATACAAACTGATTCTGGTGTTTTACTTCCTGTTATTCTGCAACCCATTCCATAAAATTCCTGTTTATCATTTTTTTTTGCCAGCATGTTACCAAAACAACCTGTTGATCAAACGAAGCTGCATTTATTTTTAACCATGGTAAGAAATCTGACTCACAGTCTTAATAGCTTCTCTCACACACACACACGCAAAATCAAAGTTGGGATATTTATTGACACTTCGCAGTGTGGTATATTTTAGTCTTTCAATGTGAAAGCTTTGTTAGGATTGGGTAAGTGTCATGACATAATAGGATTGGTGAACACAAGGCAAGACTTGGGAGTAAGGTGTTCAAGGGTCTTGGTGTGTAATTCATTCTATGTTTCAAGAAATTTATGAAATAAACAATACAGTTACTTGCAACTTTTATCTTTCTGGGAAAAGTTTCCTGGAATAGGAAAGTTATGTTGTTGAAGTGAGTGGATTATTAAGATCATGTAAATGCAGCCAATTAACTATGTAGAAGGTTTAAATTCTCATCATAATTGTCTTTGTTGAGATCATCATTTGACCAAGCATAGTGGCTACTTGCTCTCTTCATCCAACTCAACATCTTTACACTCAGTTAAACATTTCCTCTTCAAAATCTTTTCATCTTTGGCCTTTTATGGTGACATATTCTTATTGTCCTTTTATATCACTTGCTATTCCTTCTCATCTTTTCTTCTGGATTCTTCTCTATCTGATTTCTAAATACTGGAAATCTTCTGAGTTCAATCAGGGGACCCCTTCTCTCTCCTGTATGCATCCTTTCCTGAGTGATCTTATCTACCTCAATCATTTTAAATAAAGTCTATATGATAGTAATGCCCGAATTGGTGTCCATAAATCAGGAAAAGCAACTTAATTCTTTACATTCCTTTATTTCCAACCCAGAGGTACTAGGGACTTAATATATTCAATTGCACCCATTCAAATCTTTTTCTTCCCCAATTTTTATTATCTCAGTACATTTGATTACAATATACTGAGTTGCACAAGCCACCGTGTTCCGCCTCTCCAGGGCTGCCATTCACTTTTCATTCTTCTCTTGTGAATGGTACACAGTGCCTTTTGGGCTTAGGCCACTCACCTGGTCCCACATGCTGGGCACCCTTGAGTGTATGCATCTGTCTCTAAATTTATTGCTAATATTTTTGAAAAATGTTCTATCTGTCCAGTATCAAATTCCTTGCTTTTCATTTTCTTCTAATCTATTACAATCAAGTTTATATCTTTACCATTCTATAAAAATTGTATGAAAAAATCTGGTAAATATCACCAGTAAATTTCTTCTTGATAAATTCATTAGATACATTTCATTCACTCTCATAGTTAATGAATTTGAATTATTCAGTCCTATTGAAAATTCATTATTTTTTCTATTCTGTCTTCCATGTTTGTCTTAAGCATGATGGTCTCAGGGGTTTTATCGTCTTCTAGGACTTCGACTGCATGTATCCTAAGTGTTGGTCTTTGCCCTTTCCTTTTTCTAATTCTTCACAATTTGTCTGAAATATTATTACCTCCCTCAGTTTCAACCATCATCATGCAATTCCTTGAAAATTCTTCATCTCTAGTTGTGAGAGTCTATTGAGCATTAAACCCAATAATTTCAATGTTTTGCTAGATAAACTATCCAATAGTTACAAAGACATTGCAAACCCCAAATGTCCCAAACAATATGTCTTACTCTGTGCTGCTATAACAAAATCCCTGAGACAGAGTAATATATAAAGAACAGAGATCGATTTCTTATGGTTCTGGAGGATGGCAAGTCCAAGATCAGAGGGGCACATTTGGCGAGGGCCTTCTTGCTGCATCATCCCATAAGGGAAAGTCAAGAGAGTGAACATGCATAAGAGGAGGGGAATGAACTTACTTTTTATAACAAAGCATCTCCACAATAAAGGCATTAATCTGTTCATGGTGGCAGAGCCCTCATGATTTTCATCACCTCTCAAGGGTCCCACCAATCAACACTGTTGCTTTGGGGATTAAAGTTCCAACACATTAATTTTGGAGGAAACATTGAAAACAGCACCAAATTATTTTATTTCCTTCTTGAATTCAAAACTGACTTTATCTCCTGCTGTTCTTATCTTCTACAATGGCATTATCTTTCACCTTGTCTCTTAGTTGGGAAAAGTGATTGAGAGTCATTATTAATCAACCCATCTTCTTCCTCAGCTTTCATATTTCAGCAATCATCGAGTCCCATAAAATACTTCTGAATTATTTCAAAGTATTTTCTTCTCCTCTAATGAATTATCAATTCCAATTATTAACTGTTTCATCTCTTACCTGAGTAATTTTAATCACCTTTAATTAATCTTTTGGATTTTCAGTTAATGCTTTTTCTGGTCAGTTTCTATTTTACTCAATATTTTATTTTATAAAACATGAATGTCTTCTGACCATGACATTTCTCAACTAAAACATTTTTGACAGCTCTCAGTATAAGATTTTTCTCTGTCTAGTTTTAATGTTCTCCTACAGTTGTATTTCTGACCACATCTCTCCTTGACACACTTGAAAAAATAGCCATACTTGGGACCATTTTCGGAACTTGGTATATAAATTAATGGTTTCATATTGTGTTCACTTTTCTCTTTTCTTCTTACATACCCTTTTGCCCATTGTTGACTTGATAAACTCCTACCCATTGCTAGCAGTTCAACTAATAGGTGTTCCCTGGAAAGTTATCTTCCACTCACATAGGCGTTCTCTTTCTTAATGCACTCATGTAACTTTTTCCTTCATGACAGTACCCATTTCATTGTATTGAAATATTTATTTGCATGCCACTATTCCTTATTGATTGTGAGCTCTTATGTTCACTAATGGGTTTTGTAATTTTTCACATGAATATATTGGTGTTAATAAATGCAACATCAATGAATTACTGTATAAAAATAGATAATAGTTAGGAAACAAAAGTTCAGAGAGTCACATGGCAGAATGCCTGAAAATCATGCTGGGTGTTATTATAATATTACTGTAAGCAATAGTGAGACATTGAATGTCTTTGAGCAGAAAAATAATCATGGTTGTAGCAATTACAGTAGATGATTGATGGGCTGGAAGGGAGAGATTTGGAAAACAGAAAGCCACCTTGATGGATATGTAAGCAAAAAATTTTAATCCTTGAAAATACAAAAGAAAAACAAATTGCTTCATGGAAAATATTTTTCTAAACATATTCATATCAGCAACTGAACTACCCAGGTAACTTTTATCGTCTGGAATGTACTCTTCCTGTGATAAGCAGAGTGGAATAAATGAATGACTACATGTGTGGGTCACATCCAGGTATATTTCATTGTCTAAAATTTGCCTGTTACCATGTTAAGCACAGTAGAATAAATAGACAACGGATTAGTAAAATGTTTGTAGTTTTTTGAGAGTATCAAAAGAGGCATCTAAATATAATTATGGGTGCATAGTAGGTAGATGGACACCAAACTACTCATTTTATTCATTGGCTATTTGCTTACATTTTAAAAGCAAAACTTTAAATGCAAACCAAACAAAAACAAGAAGTCTCAAATATGCACCTCATGATAATCCAAATGGAAGTTTAAAGAGGCACTTTCTGTATGCAACTTTCTGTTAGGAAAGGCGTTAGAGAAATGTACTCAAGTAATAACAGATGATCAGTTTTAGTGTATCTGGAACTGCCATTTATGAAATTCAGATTCTTTATAAAAATACGCTGATTTTGTACTCTCTGTTTAAAATGTGCATCTCTTCTTTTATTGGGAGCCCATTACATTTTTCTGAATTCCCTTTGGCTTTGAAACTTAAGACGTGACCACAATGTTTATTAATGCAGGTATGTGTATACTAGTTATATAGACTCAAAATCACACTCCTTGTTTACATAGGGTATGCAAATGAAAACACTAGATTCATAGGTATATATTGTTTTAATAGCCTTTACAAATGATCAAGTCCTCACGTTAGCTGTTCTTCAGAAAAATAAAGCTATAGGTATAAAATAACTAAAAACCACAGGAGAAGATGTTGATGTTATTACACTTAAATGGGGAAGAGTATATCTACAGTGGATTGTAAGTGGGTCTCCTGAAAACCTATATCAGGGGGTTTTTGGGCTAGAGATAGGTAAGGAGTTAGAAGAGTGAAATAGGAACAAAAAGAATTTTAAAAGCATTTTTTGGAAGAAAATATAATTATAACATCTAGATATTACATTTTTTCCTTTACCCTGTATTTATTTTCAACCTGACATTTTTGTGTTTAAATGTTTTTTCTGCCATATTCTGCATCACAATCAGTGGCATGCATATGACTGGGTAAGGCCAGGGCTAGGTACATCCCTGAAATTCATCTGCCATCTTCTGATCTGCTCTCAATCAGAGTGAAAGGCATGCAGAGAGGAAAACTTGGGATGAATCAACCAGCCTCTCTGCTGACAGAAGTTCATAACTCACAGGAACCACCTTGAATTATGACTGAAACCAAATGGGAAGTGGGTGCATAAAAAGCCTTGAACGCAACAGCCCTCCTTCAGCCTTATTGGATTATTGATTTTGTTTGTCATCTTAGTTTATTTTGGGAATGTGTCTTAAGCCAATGATCTCATGGGAGAGAGTAGGCAGTGCTATTTATTTTAAATAATGAAAAAGAAATATGAAAATGCTTTAATCTGTTATATTAGAGTAGGGCTTATTCCAGTATAACAAGTACCAAGAAGACTTGTCACACTGAACTTTATTTGAACCTCAAAGAGTGTGGAATTAATTTACATTTCATTATAGTCTGGTAATTCCCTCAGCACTGCATAAGGGGGTTCTAGAATGAACAAACTGTGTACTTCCTTGCTGCTGTAAGATCTTGTGAGTACCAATCCTACAATCCCAGCCAGAAAGGTCAAACGTGCATTGTTTAATCAATAACAATCTTACTCTGTACCTTTGGAGAGTGATCATTCTGCAAATAGGAATATTTTAAAATCAAATTATTGAATACTTATTGCAATCACCAAGTTCACCCAAGATCCAATAACAAATACAACAATAGGTTAGAATATGCACTAATTCACCATATAGCAATTCTTTCATTAGCAAAGTAAAACAAAAATATTGAGGTGGCAGTGAAATACTAATAATATTTATACTATTTAAAAAATTTTGTAACAATAATTATTTATTATTATTATGTTTTTTATAAACAACTCACATGCCACTTATGCTCCTTACCACCCTGATGTTAGATGTTACAAGAGAACTGCTATATCCCTAGTCTTACTTGGTAAGCTTCCTTTAAGAATTTGCTGTGTGTTTAAAGGTTTTCAGTAGCTTCTTATATTTCCTCAGTATTTCTAGGGTTAGTGTTTTCTTTTTCTCCATAGATTCTTCAAAATAGGTTATGATATTTTAAATCATAGGTAGCAATAACTAATAAGATATCATTTTTCTGAGATAGGAGCAGAGGTTAAATTATAGTTTAAGGAAATGACCTGACAAGATGTTTGCATATGCCTCCATATCTCAAGTGCCCTGGAGTTCATGAGCCTTGACCTTGCTTTAAGCATTCTAACACATCTTTTTGAGCCATTTGCCTAGGATATTTGTAAACATCTTTGTATTTTTACGAATGTCTCAATTCAGAGGGTTTGCACTCTCCAATATGAAACTGGAATTGTATTATACACTGAAAGATATTCTACTAAAAGCAACAGTTGCACCTCTGCTAAATTCAATTTATTTGTGACAATCAGTTCTAAGCCCCAAAGGAGCAACACTTTAGCCACCAGCAATGGTGCTTGTGAGGCCAACGTAACAAGTTAATCAATATTATATTACTTCATGGGGAAGGCTGTTTTTTTCTAAAGGCAGCCAACAATAAATCCCATCCCATAAACTATTCAACAATGCAAACATAATCTCCTCCCATTCAGAGGTGGTGTCTATGTCCTTTCTCCTTGAATCTTGGCTTCTGACTTATTTGAACTAATAAGAAGTATCCAAAATGTTGCTGTGTGAATCTGAGGCTATGTCAGAAAAGGGGCTGCAACATCTACCTAGATGTTTGGAGTGCTCATTATGGTGCCCTGAACCAAATGGTAAGTAGTCCTATTGCTGTGAGGTTACTATGCTACAAGTTAACCCAAACATGCTTATGCAGAGAAACCAGAAGAAAAAGTCCTAAGTCTCCTGAAAAGAAAGATATCTGGCCAGATCCCAGCTATTCTAGCTCCCCTTTGTCAGACGGTAACCACAGGAAAGAGCCCAGATCACTATACATTAGAAGCAAGGTGAGGAAAACCACTCAGTTACTTTCATGGAAAAGAAGGAAGACCCAGAAGGAGAAACCAAAGGCCCAGAGAACCAAACCCAGAGCACAGTAATGGACCCTAATCAACTCTCCAAACCATGTAAGATAACTTTGTGCCAAAACTCAATCCTTTGACCAATGCTTCAGTCACAGAATTTGGTTTTTACTCTGTTGCCTCTCCCTGCAAGAAAACAGAGGGCTAGGATAGTCTCTAAAGTTAGTGCCCACTCAGCTGGGCACGGTGGCTCATGCCTGTAATCCCAGCACTTTGGGAGGCTGAGGTGGGTGGATCACGAGGTCAGGAGTTCAAGACCAGCCTGACCAAAATGGTGAAACTCCGTCTCTACTAAAAATACAAAAGTTAGCCAGGCACGGCGGCATGCGCCTGCAATCCCAGCTACTCGGGGCTGAGGCAGGAGAGCCACTTGAACTCGGGAGGCGGAGCTTGCAGTGAGCTGAGATCGCACCACTGCACTCCAGCCTGGGTGACAGAGCAAGACTCCGTCTCAAAAAAAAAAAAAAAGTTAGTCCCCACTCAACAATGAGAGGTATGAGAGGTGAGATCCAGGGTAAAGGGAATTATTTGAGAGTCCAGGCAATCAAAGCATATGTAGCAAAACCTCTTAAAATCTTACTATCTTGCCCAGATAATGAACATACATTTATTATACAATAAAATAGAACATAAAACATATAAAACAATCTTATTTTGATTCTACAATGGAGATAGACATTTATAAATAGGGGTCTCAGTTGCTGACAGCATAATCAACTATAGGTAGTTTAAGCAAAGTTTTTCAAAAATAAGACACAGTTTGGCGAGTAAAGAAATATTGCTTTTGGTTTATTATCTTGATGGGTTGAAGAGCTATAGAGATGCTCACTTGACATTTCTTTTTAAATCATCTTTACTACCTAGGTCAAGGATCCAATATGGGCTTTCTACTAGTTGCTTAGTGTATTTACTGCAATTAAACTCAGAAACTGGAGAAGTAATCAGATTCTCTGTAGTACATTTTGAAATTGGGAAGTATTAGTCTTCCAATTTTGTCTTTTTCAAGGTTGTTTTGGCTATTCTGGGTCACTGCATTTCCATAAAGGACTAGTTTGTCAAATTCTGCAAAATAAAAAACAAAAAAACAAAAAGACTAGGATTTCAATAGGAAGAGCACTGAATTATGGGTCAATTTGGGGAGAACTGCTATTTAATAATACTAACTCTTCTGATCCATGAACAGATGATGTCTTTTTATTCATTTTATTTAAGTCTTTTTATTTCTTTTAACCATGTTTTGTAGTTGTTAGTGCACAAGAATGACTTTTTTTTGGTTAAATTTGTCATTCCACAGGTCTCCCTTTTTAAAGTTTTGGCCAGGTTTTTTAGCTCTTGTTTGCCCTGACTGGCATTGCAGCCCCGGGAAGCAGGATGATGAATGATCACTACTGATTGTTTCCCCCAAAGCTTTGAGGATAAAGGTTTCCCTGAAAAAACAGCACTGAGTCAAGTTGTGTAAAACAACAGAATTTTTCCAGGGAACTGTGAGACAGGTCAAATAGTAACATTGCACTTCGTATGAGATTTTCTGGGGAACTTCAAACTCAACTTGTCCTCTTTGGTTGCTGTGAGATTGCTGGGCTTCAACACTAATGAGCACAGTTGGGGGAAACAGGGCTGGGAGTCGATGGAGATGAATTGTCACAGACTGTGCTGTTCTTACCAAGGTTCAGCAGATTTTCTTGAATAAACACTCCTTACACTGTTTTAAGTCTTTAGTTAATTTACAGAGTTGTAAAAATGCTCCTTTAGAGTAGCATTGCCAATGTGTTTGTTGCCTTTGCTGGGGAGTATTATTTGCCAAGGTCCTCACCCCACTATTCTGGAAGTGTTGCTTTCCTTCCTGGTTTTAAAGCAAATTTATTTATTAATCATTGGAACATAGTGCACATGCTATATTGAACCTTATTTTTTTCACTTAACAGAATATTATAGAAAATTATTAAAAATATTTTCCATATCAATAAATGTAAATACAAATGATAATTTTACATGGTTTTTCCTTTGAGTGAATGCCATATTCAGCTATAATCATAGCTCTGTCTGTTAATAACTACTAAGATTGCATTCTTTTATAAGCATTATAGTTTAATAGGCAATTAAGCAAAAATTGATGATAAAACATTAGGAAATTTAAAGTAATCATAGCAATACATAGCAGGGAACATTATATTAGGGTGAGGATAAAGAGCTGTTAAGCTTCGCTTATAAAAAAAAGTCATTTAAACAAATTTTGAAGAATAATTACTGTATTAGTCTATTTTCACACTGCTATAAAGAACTACCTGAGTCTGGGTAATTTATAAAGAAAAGAGGTTTAATTGACTCACAGTTTCACAAGCTGTATAGGAGGCATGGCTGAGGAGGCTTCAGGAAACTTACAATCATGGTCGAAGCACAAGGGGAAGCAAGCATGTCTTCTTATGGTGGTGAGAGAGAGAACATGAAGGAGTAAGTCCCACATACTTTCAAAATCCAGATCTTTGAAATTTATAATCATGGTGGAAGGAGAAGGGGAAGCAAGCATGTCCTCTTATGGTGATAAGAGAGAGAGAGAGAGAGAGAGAGAGAGAGAGAGAGCATGAATGGGGAAGTGCTACACACTTTCAAAATCCAGACCTTGTGAGAACTCACTACCATGAGAACAGTAAGGGAGAAGTCCATCGCAGTGATCCAATCACTTCCCACCAGGTCCTTCCAACATTCAGGAACACAATTCAACATGAGATATGGGTAGGGACACAGAGCCAAACCATATCATTTCTCCCCTAGCTCCTCTAAAATGTCATGTTCTTCCCACATTTCAAAACACAATCATGCCTTCCCAACAGTCTCCTAGAGCCTTTACTCATTCCAGCACTAACACAAAAGTCCAAGTCCAAAGTTACATCTGAGACACAAGTCCCTTCTGCCTATGAGTCTGTAAAGTAAAAAACAAGTTAGTTGGGCCAGACATGGTGGCTCATGCCTGTAATCCCAGCACTTTGGGAGGCCAAGGCAGGCGGATCACGAGGTCAGGAGATCGAGACCATCCTGGCTAACACGGTGAAACCCCGTCTCTACTAAAAATACAAAAAATTAGCCAGGTGTGGTGGCATGCACCTGTAGTCCCAGCTACTTGGGAGGCTGAGGCAGGAGAATGGCATGAACCCGGGAGGTGGAGCTTGCAGTGAGCTGAGATCATGCCACTGCACTCCAGCCTGGGTGACAGAGCCAGAATCTGTCTCAAAAAAAAAAAAAAAGTTAGTTATCTCCAAGATACAATGGGGATACATGCTTTGGGTAAATGCCCCCATTCCATAAGTGAGAAATCAGCTAACAGAAAGGGGCTACAGGCCCTGTGCGAGTCTGTAAAACACAGCAGGTCAGTCATTAAATCTTAAAGATCTAAAATAATCTCCTTTGACTACATGTCTCACATTCAGGTCACACTGACACAATGGGTGGGCTGCCAAGGCCTTGAGCAGCTCTGTCCCTGCGGTACTTCAGGGTACAATTCCGGCAGCTACTTTCACAGGCTGGCATTGAGTGCCTGCAGCTTTTCCAGGTACACGGTGCAAGTTGTTGGTGGATCTACCATTCTGGGGTCTGGAATACAGTGGCCCTCTTCTCACAGCCCCACTAGGCAGTGCTCCAGTGGTGACTCTGTTTGGGGGTTCCAACCCCACATTTTCCTTCTGCATTGCCCTAGTAGAGGTTCTCTATAAGGGCCCCGCCCCTGCAACAGACTTCTGCCTGGACACCCAGGCATTTACATACATCTCTGAAAACTAGGCAAATGTTCCTAAACCTCAACTCTTGCATGCTACACACTCACAGGCCCAACACCACATGGAAGCCACAAAGGCCTGGTGCTTACACACTCTGAAGCAGTGGCCCAAGCTATAGCTTAGCCTCTTTCAACCATGGCTAGAGCTAAAGCAGCTGGGATGCAGGGCAAGGGCACCATATCCCAAGGATACACAGAACATCTGGGCCCAGGGCCTGGCCCACAAAATCATTTTTCCCTCCTAGGCCTCCAGGCCTGTGATGGGAGGCGCTGCTGTGAAGGTCTCTGAAATGCCCTGGAGGCATTTTCTCATTGTCTTGGCTACTAACATTCAGCTCCTCTTTACTTATGCAAATTTCTGCAGCCTTGAACTTCTCCCCAGAAAATGGGTTTTTCTTTTCTACCACATGGTTAGGCTGCAAATTTTCTAAATGTTTATGACCTGCTTCCTCTTTAAATATAAGTTTCAATTTTAGACCATCTCTTTGTGAATTCTTATGAGCGTACACTGTTAGAAGCAGCCAGGCCAATTCCTGAATGCTTTGCTGCTTAGAAATTTCTTCCAACAGATATCCTAAATCATCTCTCTCAACTTCAAAATTCCACACATCTCCAGAGCACAGACACACAGTCTCTTTGCTAAAGCACAGCAAGAGTGACCTTTACTCAAGTTCTCAATAAGTTTCTCATCTCCATCTGAGACCTCTTCAGCCACTTCACTGTCCATATTACTATCAGCATTTTGGCCACAACCATTCAAAAAGTCTCTAGAAAATTCCAAACTTTCTCTCATCTTCCTGTCTTCTTCTGAGTCCTCTAAACTGTTCCAACCTCTGCCCATTACCCAGTTCCAAAGTCACTTCCACATTTTCAGGTATCTTTATAGCAATGTCCCACTACTCTGATACCAATGTTCTGTATTTTCCATTCTCACACTGCTATAAAGAACTACCTGAGACTGAGTAATTTATAAAGAGGTGTAATTGACTCATAGTTTCATAGGCTGTACAGGAGTCATGGCTGGGGAGGCCTAAGGAAACTTACAATCATGGTAGAAGATGAAGGGAAAGCAGGCACATCTTCACATGTTGGCAAGAGAAATAGAAAGAGTGAAGGGGGTGAAGTGCTACACACTTTTAAACAACCAGATCTCATGGGAACTCACTGTCATGAGAATAGCAAAGGAGAAATCTGCTCCAATGATCCAATCACCTCCCACCAGGTCCCTCCAGCACCGAAGTTCACAAAGCAACCTGAGATTTAGGTGGGGACACAGAGCCAAACCACATTAAGTAGAAATAATATTGGCAAAGTCGAGGAAAAATATCTTTAAGGCAGAATGTAAAGGCCCAATTTTTAAAGAGTATCCATTATGAGTCGAAAGTTGAAATCATAGGGAAGTGGCCAGAGATTGGGCTAGAATGGCAGGAGAGAGCAGAGGAACCATGCAGGGACACAGGCAGGTGACCATTTTAGAGAAGTAATGGATGCAGAGGGTAAAATGTGGGCAAGCCTGCTTATGGAAAAGTGAAAGAGGAGATCATCACTGAAATGCTGATGGAGAATAATGTTGGCTTTGTCCAAAGAAATAAAGCTGCAATGGAGACAAAAAAAAATACACTCAGTTCAGAGACATACAATGGTAAAAAGTGTTGATGAGTGGAGAGTTGAGGAGACAGTGAAGTAAACACTGAGACCCAGAATTTTGATTTGTATAACTGATTTGAAGTTCAGTTCAGTCATTGGGAGGGGGAATTATTTTGTAGAAGAAGATTGTGTTCACTCTCTGACATGTTTACATTTACCTTTACCTGTACCATAGTACAGGTGAGATATGCTTTTCAGTTACCCAGTGACGCTTTTAACATATGAGCTGGGATCTTAGAAAAGAGATCTTGGCTGGCAATATGAAGATTTAAAAATCATCAGCATAATACTGATAATTGAAACCATGGATGTGAATATGATGAAGCAGAGAGGAAGAAGAGAACTCTCAGAGCTTAATGCTGATGTTCAGCAAAAGATCCAGGGTGAGAATCCTGCAAAGGAAACTGAAGGTGTGGTCAGAGATGAGTGAAGCCAGCCAGGAGAGCGAGGCGTGTGGAAGCCAAAGTTTAGCAGGAAAAACTGAGTGTTGGCTGCTGCTAAGGATAAGGAGGAAACAGATTAAACACTGCCCTTTGCATTTAACAACAGGGTCATTGGCAGTTTTGTTGAACACTTTTGATGGAACCGTAGGCGCAGAAAACAAATTTCAGGGTGAGTGTCTTGTAAAGCTGTAGAGGGAACAACTAGACATGTCTTTTAAGAAGCTTGGCTGTGAAGAGGAGAAGGAGAAGGCTACAGGCAGCTAAAGAGGAAAGATCGGCATTTAGACCAACTCATGGGGTGTTTTCTTTCTTCCTCTCTCTCTTTTACTTTTGGACATATATTGTTTATGTTTTTGGTTTTTATTAAGCTGCAGAGTTACAAACATATTTAAATGTTGACAAGAAACAGCTAATAGAGAGGGAGAATTGAAAATAAAAAATACTGAAAAAAAGTAAGTTGATTCAGGGAAGACACCAGCCATGCATCCACCATGTCCTCCATCTAAGCTGGTATATATTTGGTTGTCAAAAACTAAGAAAAAATAGGACATAAACTGTACATAGCCTTCCTCATGACAATTAAAACTAATTTAATCAAATCTAGTTCCTTAAGTCACCAAAAATCTGAGTTTTCTTTAATTCAGAGTATCCTTTAAAAAAGAAAAGAAAATATGCAATCTGGGACTCCCAGAAGCACCAAGTTATCCCTCTAAACGACATCTGTGGTGAGCAACCAGGTGCTTTGTTCTTTCTGCTCTACCTCCCACAGATCTTTTACTCAGGACACATTTAGAACCAGCCAAGGCCAACAGATCCCTGACATCAATTCTGAGCTTTCCTAGAATCCAATTCTCTACCTCAGGACTGAATTAGCCCCCAGGGGTGAGAAGAAGCAGGTGTCTGTCATTTTTCTGGTATTCATAGGGAGTCTGGCTCATTTTCTGAAGCCAATCCTTTCAGGTGTAATCAATTCTTACTTTTCTTACCTCCCCTTCAAGATTTGCCTTGTCATACATGGCAGCTCTTTACTGCATACGGCTACCAAAGGTAATAGCATGCACTGGCAACTATGCCAGTGGGTGCTGCAGCTATATCTTTTTGCAAAAGGACTATGAGCCAGCCAAGGAAATCCTGTTCTACTTTTCTCCTCCTACCTCCCTCTGAGTCAATATGTGACTCTTCCAGTCTGTCAGATCTTAATCTTCCAGGCTCCAAAGTAAAGTGACTAAAAAGCTATCCCTGTGAGAACCTCTAATGAGCAGTTTCTAACCCCACTAGCAGCACATCACTGATGAAAGCAACACTCAGTGTAGGGCCTGCCGTCATCAGGAGCACGGATGGGAAAGAAACCCTGTGGAAGCCATGGATTCCCCGTGGGCTCTAGCATCATCAACAACTATTTTCTTCTGCAGAAGTCATTCTGCTGGCTCTGCAGACAACAGAGTAGAAAAGAAAGAAGGAAATTAGATAGCGAGGAGAAAGAAGAGAGACATTAGCTCTGCTTAAAAGCACACCGGGGATGATGGCTTCCAGCAAACACCTCATGTTCTCACTCATAAGTGGGAGTCGAACAATGAGAACACATGGACACAGGGAGGGGAACATCACCGCCTGTTGGGGGTGGAGGGTAAGGGGAGGCAGAGCATTAGGACAAATACCTAATGCATGCGGAGCTTAAAAACTAGATGATGGGTTGATAGGTCCAGCTAACCACCATGGCACATGTATACCTATGGAACAAACCTGCATGTCCTGCACATGTATCCCGGAACATAAAGTAAAATAATTTTTTAAAAACCACACTGAGAGAACATTTTTAAAATTTTTTTCAGGAATAAAGCTGAAACTTATGAAGTAACTTGCTTGAATTGCCTAACTGGAGTGTCAGTAAAGGCTTGAAAATGTTTGTAGCAGTGTCAAAATAAGCAGTGAATAGTGGGAATACCAAGAACAGTACTGAATTTCTGAAATTGATGTAGCTACTCTGCCTCTTCCTGTAATCGTTAGAACTTGCAAGAGATTGCTGAGGAAAAAATAGTGACACCCTTAGTGTCTTGCTTTGAAATCACTCAGCATAGGAGATAATTATGATAATGTATACAACATCTTTCCTTCTGCCAATGATCCTTTTCATCAATCTCTCTATTGTTTTTCCCAACAACATGATGGGTAGTAATAGGAGGCTCCAATTCTCTCTCTTTTTTAAATACCATTAATGCTCGCTGAACCACATTTAATTAAGGGAACATATATTGATACGCATAGCATAATCGGGTCAGGGACTGGAGCTGAAATTGATTGAGGACAGCTCTTTCACACTTATTTCAATTTATGAATGCTCAGATGCAGACAGATAGTGAAAAGGATTTAATTTCCATTTGTGTTGTTTGCACATTCTTTATAATGTAAGCATTAATTGAACATGCTCAGTGTCAGTGCAGAGCACTCAAGCATATCCATTTTTCATAAATGAAGGTCACAGGTCAAACTTGAGCAAGTTTCAAGCAATCTAGCTATAGAAATGTGTTTATATCGGATCAATCATAATGTGAAAGACTAGAGATCCAGAAAATTAGCACTAGGAGAGGGATGCCACTTCAGCTATAGAATGGCACCTCCTGGAAAGCACACACTAAGGATTTGCAGCCCTTCACCTTGCAATGTTGCTTTGGCACTTGGAGCGCACTTCTGAAGGGTCCCTCCACTTTGCTTCTTGATGCCACTCTCCCCAAAGGATGAATTCCAGCTGCTGAGCCAGGGGGTGCTGTTGTTAGCTAAGATTTAATTTGGTGAGGAGAGAGGTGATGATTTAAATCCACAAAGTGTTCTGTCCATTCAATCCACAAACACTTATGAAGGGCTTACTATTTGCTGAATACTGTGTCAGACACTCTTTGTGCAAACTGAATAATGTATTTTCCAGATGAATGTAGGGCTATTTTTTAAAATGTATGAAGATATCAGCTTTCCAGGTAAAATGGAAAATTTATAATAGCTTTTTTCTCATAGTGTATTTTCCCAATTTGATGTTAATACCTTTATATTTTAAACATTGACACTGGATTAGACTATTTTGCACATTTCTTGATTTTAGCATGAATTCAACTTAAAATTGACTTGTATATTTCCTATAACACAATCCAAGTTCCCCGTATTTTGATCTAATAATTCTGTAATAAAAAGGAGTTGCACTTGTTACTCTTGTCTAAAAATGTGCAAAATTTCTCACATTTACAGTAATATTCTCCACATATCGAACTCACAGTAACATAAAAAGAAAGTAGGGAAAGCTTTCAGAAATCCATCTTCTCTCCTGAGAGTAAGCATTTTACCCACATAAACAGTCTTACCTGTTTATCTCTTCATCAACAAATGTAATTTGACTCACTGCCTCAGAGACGTTGAAATCATCACTGTATCCTGCCTCTTCCTACTGTGCCCCTAGAATTTTCAAGAGTTTATGTCCAAGAATCTTGTAAACTTATTTTATATTTCATCCTTATGAAGTACATAGTAAGTTCACTAAGTCAGTCAGCTATACCACTAAAATTTGCATCTGATTTGACATTTTAATCTTCATAAAGACATTGTCGAAAAGTTAAAAGAAATGATAATTGTAATCAGGTGAGCTATTCTGTGTCACAACCAACTTCTGTATCTTGCTTCACTCAGAGAAACAACAGCAAAAAATTAAGAAATATTAGGGTCAGACAAATATTTTTAAAGTTACCTTTTAAGGTAGACTAGAGAAGTCAGTGAAAGGGAAATTAAAAAGGTAAGTCACATGTTAAAGAAACCATATTGAAAAGAGCAAAAATGTGACTTACACTTTTGTAACACATATTCCTAGTTTATTTCTTTCCTTAATTTATGAAAGATGATTTGAACAAAAACTTGCCTCTAAAATGGGATCCAAAAGGAAAATATTAGGGCCTATGGGAAATTTTTATTAAATAGTGTATTTCTGGGAATTAAAGAGGTTTTTTCCCTGATTCCCTAGCCTAAAACGTAACAAGAAAGAGGGCAAGCATCTTACTATTTAAAAACAAAAACTACTATTAGAGGGAGCAGTTTGATGTTTTTACCAGAGGAAGAGACTGGGATTGTCCCATCCCCCATGCTTCCTGTCCCCTCTGATAAACATCAAACATTTTTATATTTAGTCATATGAGTGACATGGTAATTCTCTGTCCTCTTTTCCTCATGTGGATTAATTTAATAAATTGATCTTTGTTCAAGGTCTCGAAACTTTGAGGGGAAAGATATTGCAGCACATACTAGAGAAAATATGAATATAGTTATTGTTAGCAGATTAGGAAGGAAAAAAAAGCCCTAGAGACAGGAAAAAATAGATGACTTAAATGTCCAGGCTCGGAGAGGAACAAAAATGCATGTTGTGCGGCTCTATTGTCTGTCGGCATGAGACTTTCACTCTTGAGAAAGAAGATATTCTTAAACCGGCAGATTCCAGGGGAAAGAGAGTGACAAATTCTAATTGGAAGGTCATTGATGGTGAACAACATGCACAATGCCTCTAAACACTGCACATGGAAAAAGAAATGTCGTAGATGGTATCTTCTTGGAAAAATGAAAGGAAATTATTTGAAGACAGTGTGTGAGGGCTGCTCTAAGAAGAGTTATTAAGTGGCCTCTAACACTCTATAGAAAAGTCCCCATAGGCTGCTTTTTGATCTGGAAAAGTGCTGTGTCTTATCACATATATTCTGTGAAATAGTTGAAGAAGCACAGGTCTCCAATCCCAGAGTTTGGCAGGTAAACAATCTTTTCTCAGACAGAAAGGAAAACAGAAAAGACATTAAATGAAAAACGATACATATAAGTAGCAGAATAGGGTGGCATGTCTAGAGATTAAAGTTTTTTGAACTATTATTATTGTTTTCTTTCCCTTTTCATGGCAAAGTAAGCAGGAAAAAAACACACAGAACAGACTTAGTGTTTATTTGTGGAAGGTGATGTTCTACTAAATTAACAGGGAGGGTTACTGGATGTTTCTTATTAAATTTAGTAGCAGTTGATCCATGTGAAGTATTTGCTTTTCCAAGTTATGAAAATATTGGAATTTGCTTATCTCTCATTTCCTTTGCAGCCATTAGGTTCCCAGAGGAAAAATGATTATCAGTCAAAACTGGAATTGTATTTTCCTAACATACATGACTTTAATTTTTATTCATTTTTAATGAGTTCCAGTTTGTGATTGCCCTTAAAACAAAAGACAGTGATCTTTATAGTAATCGCTTAAACTCATAGTTCTGTCTAGAACTATACTAAAAGAGCATGTAACCTTATTTCCAAAATACAGAAGTTAACCAATTTGAAAAAATGAAAAATAAGATGCTAGCTTATGTTAAGTCAACAAAAAAAGAAACATATGAATTTCTCTTTCAAAAAGTCTAACTCACCAAAACATTATATTGCACATCTTAAATATGTACAAACTTTATTTGTCAATTATACCTCAATAAAGCGAAGCAGGGATTCATATTTGTACCTTGTGATCTACTAAATGGGGAGTTTGTAAACTATGGCCTGTGGGCCAAATCCAGCTCCTGGCCGGGATACAGTTTGGTGTACCACACAGCCACGCCCATTCCTTCACACCCTGGCTGGGTTTGCACAGTCACAGACTGGAATAATTATGACAGTGGCCATAGGGCCTTATTAGTATGTTAATATTATTAACAATTCTGAGAAATATTATCTCAACATCCCTAATTATGTAACAATGCCTCATTGTTATCAAATGATACAATGGTGTGAAGGAATATTTATGAAGTTATTGAGCGCCTAGCATGTATGAAACACCTCGCTAAGGACTCAGGATAAAAGAGTACTTCTCCTTGAGGAGGACACAGTCTGATGGGGAAACAGGAGTGTACACAGGTGATTTTCCACAGCGTGCAGGAGTGCTCTGATGAAACTAGGCACAAGATCCAATGGGACCTCAAAGATTGCGAGCCCTGCCTGCTGGGGGCTGTTGTGCTGGGGTTGGGGGAGTGTTATTGGAGGAGTAATAGCCAAGTTTATTTTTCAAAAAGGAGGAAAAGTTATTGGGGCAGTGGAGGGAAATGCCGATGATGACAGTGGTGGGGACAGGGATGCAGGGATCGAAAACCAGTATGGTATTGGGAAGCATATTGGTAAACCAGAGAGTCTCAAAATATGAGGCTGGCATGGAAGGAAGAGATGAGTCGTGGCATCTTCTGTGTTGTACCTGGGGTTTAGGCTTCGTCCTGTGAGTAAATAATGCTTCTAGCATCAGGGAGCAGCAGAATGGAGGGCCCTATGTTGCTGTTTGTATGTGAAGGGTGTGTACAAAGGAGGATGGAAGAGAAGACTGGGTCAGACTCTATTAATGCAGTTAGGAGAAAGACTATTTGTGACTGAGCTAGGAAGGGTGACAATAAGCATGGGAAAAGGAGAATACATTGGGGAAATATTATAGTCACAGAATGTAATATCTGGTTCAATGTAAATGATGCTGTGTTAATGTGTGAAGGAAATCATGTCTAAAACGTAACAAGAAAGAGGGCAACCACCTTATCGTTATTTAAAAACAAAAACTACTCTTAGAGGGAGGAGTTTGATGTTTTTACTGGAGGAAGAGACTGGAGATTGTCCCATCCCCCGTGCTTCCTGAACAAAAATTCTCTCAGTTTTTTGCTGCAGATATTGAGGGTTCCAGTGTGATCAAAGTAAATAAGAAATGGGTTAGAAGAATCTGGCATAAAGGGAATGATGGAGAGACCTATTTAAATATGTTGTGTTTGCCATGCTTACGAGTAAGTACATCTAAGTGAGTGTGCTCCATGGGCATTTGGATGTATGATCTGAAACTAAGTAATTACCATAAAGGCATAATTAATATCACCTTGATCTTGGAGGGCATGGTGAAAGGGAACAGTGAAAGAAAGAAGATAAAACCCTATGGTAAAAAAATAGTATGAAGAGACAGCTGAAGGCTTCCATGGAAGGGATGAGGAGAAAGTGGGAGCAGGATAGCATGGAGCAGCAGATGTGAGAAAGAAGGGGCGCAACCAGCGCCAGAAGAACAGAAAATCAATGAGATCAAGAAGGGAGAAATAAAAACGTGCATTCAACTGGCAATTAGGAGATCACAGGTGGCTCTAGAAAAAGGAATTTCAGTGGAGGGAGGGGAGGAGGGAATCCCGGTTGCAGCAAGGGGAGAGAGTAGATGCAAACCAATCTTCTAAGATGTTTGACCGAGCAGGACAGTGGGGAAACTGGTCATTATCCTTTGGGGGTGACCACCACCAGAGATCCCCACAGCCACCAAGGACAATAGCGATCTGAAGAGGTGTTTTCATTCTTGGCTGCTGGAAAATAGCCAGGAGACCAAGAAAGGATGAGGATCTCAACTAAAAAGAGAATAGTTCATGAAACAATGTTTTGGCAAAAATGGAATCAAAATAATGGAGGAAAAGGATCCTTTCCCTTTCCTTTTGTCTAAAACCTTGTACCACCTCCCTTCCCAAGGCAGGCAGCCAAGGCAATATTTCATTAACCCAGCCTTCAGCTGTCCCTTCATACTATTTTTTTTTACTATAGGGTTTCATCTTCTTTCCTTCACTGTTCCCTTTCACCACGCCCTCCATGACCAAGGTGATGTTAATTATGCCTTTATGGTAATAACTTAGTTCCAGATCATACATCCAAATGCCCGCAGGGCACTCTCACTTAGATGTACTTACTCATAAGATGGGACAGCTGAATTTCAGGTTTGGGGAGCCCATGTCTGACCTGGTTGGCTTTCTCAATGATGAAGGAGTGGGTTAGAAGTGGATTATGAGTGAGTTCATGAGGTGCATTTGAAGCAAATGTTAAGTCTCTGAAAGTAATTGGATGGGACCTGGCAAAGGACAAGTAGAAGTATTTTTGAACGGCAAGAATGGATTTTTTGAAAAAGTCTTAACAAACAATTTGAAATATTTTCTTTCCAAAGAAAGAAAATTTGCTTTCATTCCCATAGAAAGAAGCTATTTGGAAATGTTAATGGTGGTCTCCTGAATTTCCTTGTACCAATTCCCTTCCCAAGGCAGGCAGACAAGGCAATATTTCATAAACTTTAGTTACTTCCTCCCCTCCTACTTGATTTTCACCATCTCAGTGAAGAACCTGCATGCTTTCATTGCTTTCTTTTTTTCTCTTAATTCATTTATTTCATGAAAAATTATTTCAAAAGGAAACTTAACAACACAAAACTAAAAGGGAAGGTGCATCTCACTCTGTTTTAAGTAGAAGGTAAGCACAAACTACATGAAATTTTTAAAAGGAGGCTATTAATTTGTACCTAAATACTATTCTCAGTGAAAGTCTGAGTCTGTGCCCCTACTCTATGTTAAAGAGAGAGATAGTGAGTGTACTCGGGTGATTTGATGAGCGTGGGTTTCCTAGCAGAATATTTCTCTTTGGCCTAATCAGGAGTGATAGAGAATTAAAAAGCGAATCACTTTATCACAATGTGATTCAACACCATTTAATGCATGGAGCCTGAATTCCTCCTAAAGCCACTCAGTATCACCTGTGATGCTTGTCTTACAATTTGTAAAAACTGGGGTTGGGGATTCTACATTCATTTCCTTGGGAGAAGGAAGATGCAGAGAAAAACGCAGAGCACATAATGGAGATGCGACTGGAGCTCAGGTTTGGGGCTGCAGAGGCAGGCCTTAGGAGCAGGTGTGCAGCTCAGAGCAAGGCTGCCCCGCTCCTGGTGGCCGGAGTCACAGACACACAAGAGAAATGGCATGGGGTCCTCCGGACTGGGAAGGGGGATGTGAGAAATCTGTGGACGCTGCATACCCTGAGAAACGGGCTCAGCACCTGGTGCTCCTGCCCACGCTGGGGGGAGGGAGGGCAGTGAGGGAAGCCCTGGAGCAGGCAAAAAATCCCACAACAGAGGGAACCGGGGGCCCTTCCTCAAGTAGAGTCTGAACTCGTGGCAAGACCCCAGAGTAGAAATGGCTCCGTTGTCACAAGGTCCCAGCATGCCTGGCTTCAGTCCCTGGTACAAATCTAGTCTGAGGGGATGTTTTATGTAACCAGTAGGGTTTATAGAAATGTTGGATTTCAATCCCTTCAGTCTGTACTTCCCAGGTGACTCTGACCCCTCCACAACTCATTCTTACCTGCTCCTACTTTCTCACACGTTGTCTCGGCCTCTCTCTCTCCCTGTCCGGAAGATAGCTGTGTTTGTAGCCCATGACTAAGTGATCAAGCCTGGAAGATCCCTGGGTGATTCCTGGGGTCCCAGTGTGCCTGGGAAACAGGAAAACGACTCCTTCAGTCTCCAGAGATTAGACAAAACCCCAAGAAAAGGGACCGAATCAAAATTATGCTCCAGCCACCAAGCTGAGTGCATACTTGAAATAAGAATGAAGTTTAGTTCTGGAAGAATGGAATGCTATTTCCATATAGTTTGGGGTAGGCTAAGTTAGCTATGAATATGAAAGTGAGCAGTCACTAATTGCAGAGCAGATGTCAAAGACCTGGTTTGAAATATTTGGCTGATTGAGATAGAACCAAAAGACAAAGTGGGTCCTGTACCCAGGTGCACCGGCGCTAGAGCAAGACCAGACAAAGGCTGTGTAGCCACTATGGGATGGTTTTATGCAATCAAAAATTAATTCCTGAGAACCAGATGCCGATGAGGACATAGCCTGCCAGAAGCGCCTCCTTAAGAGAGTAGAGATTAGAAACAGGACCCAGCCAGCCTGCTGGGGGAAGCCCCCATGAAGGAAGCTGTACCAGCAACCGATCCTAAGCTATGAGCCCAGAATTCCTGTCTGTCTCATCCATCGTGGTATCACCAGTGTCTTGCACCTTCAGAGTAGTTAAAAATGTTCAATGTGTGTTTGACTAGGATGAAAAGAATAGCCAAATATAAGAAAACATATAGACTACCTAGTGTACTGAAATGTGATGTTGTTAACAACAATTTTGGAGGGAAAACAAAAGTTCAATTTAAAGCCTAAAAGAAATACTGTTTTTCTTGAATGTGACTTCCTCACAGAGATCTACCATAGTTGTCACTTTATTTGAAATTGTACTCTCCTCTCCCCTCCTGTCTCATTCCTAAGCCCCTTACCTTGATCTGCTTCTTTTAAATTCATATCTGCCTTTTACTTTTCTTACTTGTTGTGTCTGTTCTAACTAAAATGTCATCTCTGCTTTGGGAGTGTATCAGCCCAGAGCGGCTGTGCAGACTAGCACGGACATCTCAGCAGCTCCCTACTCAGGGTTCCTTTTCCTGCAGGAATCAAACAGGGAGACTTTGCTCATCAAAGTCACTCTGAGATCCAGGCTAGTGGGGGCTCAATCTTGACATACGCTACTGTGACTTCAGATGCCATGGATCAAAGGTCACATGAACCACTCCCTGAAGAGACTGAAGGGAAACGGATGGTTCGTCCCTAGGGAAGGACAGCCAATGTGGATGAGGAAAAACCGCAATCTACTCCACCACGGGGCTCTGCTGTCTCTCCTGCACTCGTGTCCCACGCACACAGAACAATAACTAGCATGAGGCAGGTGCTCAGTAATTGTTTTGTTTTCCAATTTCTTCCAAATTTCCAGGTTTTACAGCTATCAGTGCCAAAGCACACAGTGTTTCATGTACTCTGGGGAAGCATGTGCGCTTGCTGTGGTAATGCTGCCATGGAAAAGCTATGATGAAAGAAGTTGCATTGTGCTGCAGAACATGCATCCCAGGCTTCATCCAGCCAGGGGGAAAAAAGAAACAGTCACTTCTTTCTGAAAACACAACATATTCTGATAATAGTTTCCATCTTATAAATGAACTAGAAGCCAATTTTTTTTTTCTTTTCTGGGCTTCTCCTCCCTGAAATTCCAAGGACTGCCTCTATGTGTTCAAGAATTCATTTTTAAGCACCAATTGAAGGCTCTCAGTGAAGTGGGCTGGTGGAGAACTCCTACATTGCTGACTCAGCAAGCCCAGCGCTGGCTTCCTCAATCACTTCTAGCACTCTCAGGACGCTGACTGTGGGCTCTGGTGCCAGGAGAGCCATGATGTCCTGTGTTTTCCTTAGACAGGGTCTGGCCAGCTAATGGGTCTTGCTGACAAGACCTCCCTGTTCTTTGACCACTGCTGCAGATGCTGACCGTTCACTCAGTAGATCATGTTCCTTTCAAGTTCATGTTCGGTCAAGAGCACCCCACAGCAAAGCGACAGGAATCAGTTCCACCATGTTTGGTGCTCACAGGCGACTTCAGCACACTTGCATACAGCATTTTCTCTGGGACATGTCCAAACACCACAAAGAGGTGGCTGAAAAACCTGGGGTCCGGCACCAGCAAGACAGAAGTGCAAAGATCCAGTTTCTACTTGCCTGAGATGGAAGTCCAAATTCAGACTCCACTTTCCCTTAGGGCGTCTTTCCTCTAGGGCCCTCAGACATGTCCCGACAACTTTTAACCACAAGTGGATGACATCACTGTCACCATCACTCTGACCCTACAAGAGCTCATTGCTCCCAAGTATGTGAAAGGAAATAAGAACACTGGGCTGGAGGTCCACTTACCCTATGCCCTGATAGTTTATAAGCATCAGGCTCCTAACAAATTTAACATCCTTAAATTGTCACAGCCAAAAGGGACCAATCCAGACTTTGCAGAACAAAAAGACTCTCCTCCTTAAAGTAAAATGCCAATCTATGAACCAGAAGGCAGAAACTGCTCAGAAATTTTTTTAAAAAGCAGTTTTCTAGCTTTAAAACTCTGAAGGTCCAGAGCATTATAGTTAATTAACTTTATTAATGAGAGCATTTTTAGAATATTTTCACCTGTTCCTATTTTTGGCAAGTCATACAGATTTGGCAAGTCTCAACAGATTTCTAATCTGTTGAGAATCATAGAATATGGCTTTTGAAAAGCTGTATGTTGAGAGGACAGAGACCAGGCAATAATTTGGAACACCTTTTTACAGACAGGCTGAGTGACGTCAGAAAGTGCACTTAACTACCTGGGCTTTCAACTCCTTTCTCATCAAATAAAAGACGAAAATCAGGGTATCTCTGAGGATCTCTCTCTTTTATTATGTAATTCTAGGGTTCATTAATCTGTGCTAGCGTGGACCTTGAAACACACGGTCTGAGTGCTGCCATTCTTTTTTAGATGTTTCTTCATGATCTTGTGGAAAGTCTTCTTTGAGTATGGCATTTCAACTGAAGATGATGACCTTCCGTGAAGCAACTGTACAATTGCAAAGAAGAAAATGAAAACTCCTGTGATGATATTAGAAGACATGGAAAGAGCATTTTCAGTGTCCTATAAGAAGATCTTCCAGTGATATTGGTAATTCAAAGGAATGGAAAAATTACTAGATATGCAACGTGCAGGCCATTTTTATATTACAGCAGATAGCTCATCTTTTAATCAGTCTGTTTTTCATGAGTAGTGGGCACCACTTGTAATGACTACAATTGAATTCCAAATGGAGAAGTCTAAGTTAATTAACTAAAGGCTTTGAAAAATGTCCGAAAACTATTATTTTCTGGTAATTGTCCCTTGCCAAAAAGAAATACAGAAAAAAATTAGATGTTGAAACTATTGATAAAGTGTGTGCCATTGAATTTTCTCATTAGTGCCTGCATTCCTTTGGAGAAGAAGGAGGCTGAGTGGTCCATTGTTTAGCTCTCTTTTGCAGTGAGAAAGAGGTTCATCTATTTTAAAGATTGGATTTAAGGTTTGGTGTATTTGATTCAATTACTGTCAGATATTTGGGGAATACTTTATTTTTATTTAATTTCCCAGGATAGAATCATTTATATACAGTTGTAAAAATCAGGGCTTTGATCTATTTCTCATAAGTTTTTAAATATGATACAGCTCACAAAGTGAGCTGCCCAAAATTTACACGCAAAATTAGTTATTTATGTGATATGATAATTAAAATAACAGAATCCACTGCATAGTATAGCAGTCCTAGTTTCCAATAATTAGAGTTAAATTCCAAAAAAGGAGCAAATAAATTGCAATAAATTTTAAGTATTTTCAAATTTTAAATAAGATTAATATTTTTAAAAATTGGCCCTTTAATTTGTTTTCCATGTTTAACTAAACAGAAAGTGTTTAATTTATATAAACAAAATATAGATGTCCATCAAGAAAATAATGCAGTTTGAAGAGAAAAGTAAATCATATTTTTATACAGTTTTAATAATGTTTTTAACAACTTTATGTCTATTTTATGTTTGTTATTTTATTTGATTAAATTTAAAAATAAGCACAGTGACAGCAGCTAAATAAATTATAGATTTTATATTAAAGATTATGGGCTTAAAACATATATATATTTCCCAAAACCTCTAAAATAACAAGAAGTATATATTTTAAGCCATCAATCTATAAAAACAGAAAGAACCTAGTTTTGAAACCTGGAACACAAGTTTATGAGTTGCAACTGAAATAACAGAGCCAGGAAGGAAAATAAAAACTGGCCTTGGGAAAAGCTAAAAAGTCATCTAATTTACACTGTAAATGAATACTCCCCACCCCATAAAAACACACAAATTAGTGGGCTCAAGTGCCTTGGGAATTAAAAGTGAATTTCAGAGATAAAAGTTGTATTTTTTGAAAATGCTTTTAAGAACTTGTTCAAAACCTTTTCCAAATCCCACACAACTAAGAAAACACTGTGTATGGGTGACAGCAAAACAGAGAGTCTCTGCGACGGTTGGAGACGGAAGTGTCACATTGAAAGAAGGGTAGTTCATGAATGTTTACATTTGGAATGCTGACAATTTTAAATGACGACAACAATCTTTTTTGTCTTCTTCCTCTCAGATCCCAGAATGTTAACAGCCAGAACACTGATTTTCTGACAGTAAGTCAAAATACTCATATCAGGAATTATGACCAGCCCAAGAAGAACTTCTGGGGGTATCAACTCCTGGTATAACAGCGTTAGGGAGCTACAATGACTAACTCCCTAGTGAAGCTGGTAGAAAGCATAAAACATACATACACACACACACACACACAACCATTTAATGCCTCTGGAAGTGGTCCTAAGGGCAAATATCTACTCAAGAATGTCTATGAGATTTTGGTAAGAAAGATAAGAGACTGTGTGAACAAAGACAGCTTCATTGCTCCTCACTCCCAGTCCCACAAGGCAGAGACTCCACTCCAGAATGCTATATCCAAAAATACAGGGTTGCCTGTCCTCCCAGTACTCATGTGAAGGGCTTTCTTCCTAGGAAGAGCAGGACAGTAGCATCTCTTATCCTTTCCCCACATCCTGTTGTTGAGTCTAAGTCCTGGGAAAGTTTAGTCCTCTCTTTCACCCAGTTTCTACTTATGGAATGGAAGCCCTACCTTGGCCATCAAATGCTACAACTACAGGGATCCTGATCACTCTTGCCCAAGTTCATGTTGTAATGTATCCATGCCAAGAGAGGCAAGCCAAGAGTACTCCCAGCCTCCTGCATTTAGTATCTAAACTAAATAGCTACCATTTAGTTTAGATACCTCTGATGTACTGAGAGTAAACAAAACAATAAAAATTCTCAAACTCCGCCAAATTTCCAATTATATTAATCCAAATTCCACACACTGAAGGAATAGTAGAAGAAAAAGAGCACCCATTTTTAATACAAAGTATATTTATCTGTTTCTACACGGGAATGTTCATCTTCTAAAAGAAGTAACAATAAAATGAGTCATTAAAATTTTAAAAGGCAAACAAATGGACAAAAAATTCCAAAAGACAAAGCAATCAACAAAGCCAGACTCAAATAACACAATCATGTTGGAACTATTTGATAGGTACTGTAAGATAACTATAATTAATGTCTTAAAGTTTCTAGTGGAAAAGGTGAATAAAATGCAAGATCAGATGAAAAATTTCAGCAGAGACATGAATATTATTAAAAGAAACTAAATGCAAATGTTGGAGAGAAAAACAATAACATAAAGGAAGAGTATCTTTGATAAGATCATAGACTCCAGTGTTACAATTTTTATAGTGTCAGGAACTGTAGCAGTATTTTGTCTTGAGGTCTCTCTCTTGAAGACAACCATAAACCAAGATAGGCACTCTCTAAGAGAGCTCTGATGAGAGAGTTAGGTTCAGAGTGTGTGTCACGTGAGACACAATGAGAAAGTAAAATCAAAATGCATGAAGCAGACAAAATTTATTACTCGTGGGTCTCAGAGAGGTAGGAGTACTGACAGGCGGCCAATAGAAAGGCTGAGGCTGGCAGAGAGCTCAGCCAGTGAGTGAGGAGACAGAAAATGAGTGAGAGCCAGAGAGAGAGAGGACCTATGGGACTGTGTCTGTATTAAGGTCCATGGGTGTTTTCCCTTAGGCTTTCCAGCAGCAGTTGTGAATTGGGTAATTTAAGGAAAACGTTAATGAAGGAGGAAACTAATTTACATAACCCTGGTGTTGAGCATCATGCTTGATCATAGTCAGCAGCTTTGGGGTGTGTTGGGTTTTGTGTCAGTGAGATAAGGAACAAACAGACTGCATGGAAAACAAAGGGAGGGAAGTTTAAACTAGACCAAAGTTGATGGGGTATGACTGAGTTTCAAGTAACATGTCAGGCCTCAAAATGGATGCTAAGGCAGCAACTATATTAAATAAATTTATGACATTAGTAAAAATGAGAAAAAAAAAAGTCAGTGAACTTGAAATAGATGAATACAATTTACCCAAACTCAATTTTAAAGGTTAGAAAGGATAGAAAAAATTACATAGCATATAAAAATTGTGGGACAATATGGAATGACTCAATAAATGGTTAACTGAAATCTTAAAATAGAGAGAACAGATAGATGATAGACAGATAGACACATAGATAGATAGATAGTCTACACACTATATATGAAGTAGTAAAATATAATTTGAAGATAGAATTTTATTAGTTAAAAACATATGTTAACAACCTCAAGGAAACCAGGAAATATATTTTTTAAAAGGTATAAAAATTAAGTTCTTATAGAAGAAAAAAGTAATTATTCAAAAAAAATAATCAATTGAAACCAAAGAAGACAGAAATATAAAAATAAAACAACATAGAAAATAGAAAACAGTAAGCAAGGTAACATATCTCAATACAAATCTATCTATCTATCTATCTATCTGTCTATCTATGAAAGCACCAAAATTAACGGCAGGCATCAATCTATAGAACCACGAATACCAGAGAACACAAAGTAAGATAAACACCAAATAAACAAAAAACAAATAAATAAACAAAATAATATCCCACCCAGGAACGATATATTCAGAAATATTATATTTTATGAATATTGTGTTTCTGAAAATTAAACACAAAGAAAAATTTCTGAAGACAAAAATGACAAAAGAGACACATTACATAAAGAGGAACAAATTATAGGATACTACTTAAAAGAAACCATGAAGGCCGGGGGCAGTGGCTCACACCTGTAATCCCAGCACTTTGGGAGGCCGAGGTGGATGGATCACGAGGTCAGGAAATCAAGACCATCCTGGCTAACATGGTGAAACCCCGTCTCTACTAAAAATACAAAAACTTAGCCAGGCTTGGTGGCGGGCACCTGTAGTCCCAGCTACTCAGGAGGCTGAGGCAGGAGAATGGCGTGAACCCAGGAGGCAGAGCTTGCAGTGAGCCGAGATCACACCACTGCACTCCAGCCTGGGTGACAGAGCAAGACTTCATCTCAAAAAAAAAAAAAAAAAAAAAAAAAAAAAGAAACCATGAAATCCAGAAAGTAATTGAGTGATAATTTTTAAGTAGTAAAAGAAAAACCAAGTCAACATATAATTCTATACTCAGCAAAAATGTTCCTCAACAATAAAGGAAAATGAAGACTTTCTCAGAATTTAAAAATCAAGATAATGAATTTCCCACAGACGTACACTGCTAATATATTAAAAGAATGTTTTGAAAAAACACTGTAATACCGGAGTGAGCTTTGGATTTATGCAAAAAAAAGTGTTGAAAATGTAATAAATAGAGGTTAATTTTTTATTTTATTATTTTAATGTTTC
Source organism: Homo sapiens (assembly GCF_000001405.40). Taxonomy (NCBI): domain Eukaryota; kingdom Metazoa; phylum Chordata; class Mammalia; order Primates; family Hominidae; genus Homo; species Homo sapiens. The sequence continues at coordinate 164,403,449 of NC_000006.12, read as the reverse complement.
ACTTGTTCTAAAAGGTATTTCGCTACCCAAACTAAATACATAGCTATCATTAGGTATTGTGTGTTTAAAGCAGATTTAAAACTAAAATATAAGACAATCATAACACAAAAGATGAGAGAAAACTATATAATGAGGCATATATGAAACAGTAAAAAACGATTTGAAGGTAGAATTTTATTAGTTAAAAATCTATATTATCAACCTCAAGGCAGTCATGAGATACATTTTACAAAAAGACATACAAAACAAGTTAATATAGAAGAAAAAAGTAATTATAAAAGATGATCAATTGAATCAAATTAAGACAGAAATATAAAAACAAAGAACATAGAAAATAGAAAAGAGTAAGGTAATATATCTTAATAAAAATATATAAATATTCATTTGTGAATAATTTAAACACAACTAATAGATAAAGATTGTCAAATTGGATTAAAAAGCAATACTCATGTGTCTAAAAGAAACTTACTTTAAATATAAAGACATAGGCTAAAATTAAAAGTCTAGGAAAATGCATACCATGCAAATACTAACCTAATAAATGTAGCTTTAAGTTGACATCAGACCACGAAATATTATCAGGAAAAAAATTACCATTGCATAATTTTAAAAATATAGAATTTATTATAATCCTGAATGTGCATGCATCTAAAAACAAAGTTTCATGATTCATGAAAAAATTGATTAAAGGAATAGGCAAGTCCAGGTACAATGGCTCACTCCTGTAATCCTAGCATTTTGGGAGGCTGAAGTGAGCAGATGGCTTGAGCCTAGGAGTTGGAGACTAGCCTGGGCAACACGATAAAACTCTGTCTCCACAAAAAATCAAAAAGATTAGCCAGGCATGGTGGTGTGCACCTGTAGTCCCAGCTACCTGGGAGGCTGAGGTGGGAGGATTGCTGAGGCCGGTGGTCAAGGCTGCAGTGAGCTGGATTGCACTACTCCACTCCAGCCTGGATGACAGAGTGAGACTCTGTCTCAAAAAAAGAAAAAGAAAATAAAAGAAATAGGCAAGCCTTCAATTATAGTTACAGATTTGAATATCATCTCTCAATAATTAATAGAACAAATAAAAACTCAGTATTACAGAAAAGAAAAAAAAATACTGTCAACAAAATTGACTAATGACACTTATAGAACTCACTACCCCAAAATGATAGAATGCACATACTTTCTGAGGATATATGGAGCATTCTCTTGAAGACAACCATAAGCTAAGATCGGCACTACATAAGAGAGCTCTGTTGAGAGATTTAGGTTCAGAGCGTGTGTCACATGAGACACAATGAGAAAGTAAAATCAAAATGCATGAAGCAGACAAAATGTATTACTCATGGGTCTCACAGAGATGGGAGTACTGACAGGAGGCCAATAGAAAGGCTGAGGCTGGCAGAGAGCTCAGCCAGTGAGTGAGGAGAGAGAAAATGAGAGAGTGAGAGCCAGAGAGAGAGAGGACCTATGGGACTGTGGCTGTATTAAGGTCCATGGGTGTTTTCCCTTAGGTTTTCCAGCAAGAGTTGCCAATTGGGTAGTATAAAGAAAACATTAATGAAGGAGGAAACTAATTTACATAACCCTGGTGTTGAGCACTATGCTTGATCATGGTCAGCAGCTTTAGGGTGTGTTGGGTTTTGGATCTGCACTCTGTACAGTGCCATAGAACAAGCCGCAGAAAATTTAAAAGTCTAGAAACAATGTAAAGTGTCTTCTTGGATCATTAGAGAATTAAACAAAAAATTAATAACAAGAGATAGCAAAAAAAAAAAAATCCCCAAATAGCTGGTGATTAAAGTAAAACATACTTGCATACTTCTAAGTGAAACTTAAATTAAAAAGGAAATATGGAACAAAACTTTGAAATATTTTGAACTTAACACACTGAACACAACACATTGAAATGTGTGATATATAGCTAAAGCAGTCCTTAAAGAGAAATGTATAGCATTAATTGCTTATGTTAGAAACAAAGGCCTCCAATAAGAAATCTGTGCTTCTACTATATGACACTAGAAACAAAAAGGCAAATCAAATCCAAAGTAAGTGGACAAAAGGAAATAATAAACATAACTGGAAATTAATAAAAGGAAAACAGAAACACAATAAAAAAGAATGAAAGCAAAAGCTGAATCTGAAATTATGTACCAATTGGGAAAACTAGACAGATTGACTATGAAATAAAGGTAGATACAAATTACCATTAACAAAAATAAAAGTGGAAACAAAACTACAGACACCATAGATATCAAAAGAAGGATAAAAGAATTTTAATAGGGCAAAGGCAAATGACCAAAACTCACTCAAAAAGAAATAGATTAATAGTCCTATATATTCTAAGGAATTACAAATTATACCTTAGAACATTCCAATAAAGAAAGCCCTAAGCCCAGATTGTTTCACTGTTTAATTCTCTCAAATATTTAAATCCAAATTTACACAATTTCTATCAGTGTGTAAGAAGGGAGAGAATACTTCCCAAGCCATTTTTTAGATCATAGCAAAACTAAAAGCAAAGACATTATAAGGAAAGGTTACTGCAAACCAATGACACTCATAAATGTAGACATGCAAAAATTCAACAAAATATTAGCAAATTGAATTCAGTGATATATAAGAATATTAATCTTAACCAACTACATTTATCCCAGGTGTGCAAGGCTTAATTCATACTTTAAAAAAACAATCAATGAAATTCACCATGGTAAGAGAATACAGCATAAAGGGAAAACAAATGATCATCTCAATTAAGATATGAAAAGCATTTGGCAAAATTTATTCTCCTTTAATACTAAAAAACAAAATCTCAGCAAACAAAGATTAAAAGGAAACTTCCTTAATCTGACAGGTATCTCCAAAAACTATAGTTAACATCACACTCAGGTGAAAGATTGTTTCCTGAGACAGCACGAGGCTACTAATCTCACCACTCCTATTCAACAGACTGCAAATCATAACCAGTGCCCTAAGGCAAGTAAAACAAATAAAAAAATAAAAGGCATATCAATTAGGAAGGGGAAAATAAAACTGTTTCTGTTTCTAGATGATAACTGCCTATTTCAAATTCAATGGAATAGCTACAAAAGAAGCCAAAGTTTTTCGAGGATTTAGGATGCATGGTCAGTACACAAAAAGAAATTGCTAGAGACTAGTAATGAATAATAGAAATTTGAATTCAAAAACAACCATTTAAAATAACTTTAAAAATAAAATAAATAATTGAGGTAAAAAATATGAGTATTTATATTGTAAAATATAAAACTGTAGAAAAAAAATTTTTTAACTAAATAAATGGAGCTAGATACTAAGTGTCCATGTATTGAAAGACTAAATTTTCTTCAATGTTAATTGAGATATAGATTGATCAACTTCAATGAAATACCAGGAAAACCTCAGCAGCCTGACTTGAACATATCAACAAGCAAATGCTAAGATCTCGGTATAAAAAATAAAGAGGACCCCAAAAAATTTTGAGAAAACAAAATTAGAGAACTTCTATCATCAGATTTCAAAGCTATTTGAATGTTACAATAATCAAGACAGTATGATATTGGGGGTAAGAATAGATTTTAGATCATTTAGACAGAATGGGGAGTCCACAAAGAAAGATACAGAAATAGTCAATTGATTTTTACAAATGTCCAAAGACAGTTCTGTGGAGAAGTAATAACTCTTTCAAAAAGTAATGCTGGAAAGTTAGAAGTCCAGAAGCCCAAAAAACAGAAAGCAAGCAAACAAACAAAGCCTCTTAATTTTTGCCTCATATTAATACAATTTTTAAAATGAATTATAAGCCTAAATGTAAAACATAAAACTACAAAACTTTTAGAAGAAAATACAGGAGAAATATTAGATAACCTTGGGCAAGGGAAAGGGGTTTCAAATATGACTGCATAAGTGCTTAGCATAACTTTTTAAAAAACGTATTAGCTGTTTTTTAACAAAATTTAAAGTGTTGGTTTTGCAAAAGAGACATAATAGCATGAGTAAACTAGCCACAGACTAAGAAAACATTTGCAAATCACATCTCTAATCTAGAATTCATATCTAAAATCTATACAGAACTCTCAAAAATCAACAACAGAAAGCCAAACAACCCAATTAAAAAATATTTAACCAAATAAAGTATATTAATTGTAAGCAATAATATAAAAAGATGTCTCACATCATTAGTCACTAAGGATATGCAATCAAAATCAAAATAAAATATCACTAAGCATTGATTAGAATGTTTAATTTAAAAACAAAAAGCAAAACAAATTACAAAAGAAGAAGCTGCCAAACCAATTCACTGGAGAGGATACAAAGCAACGGAAAACGGAATACATTGCTAATAGTATATAAGAAGTCACTGTACTATTTTTGCAAATTTTTGTTAACTTAAATGCATTTCAATATAAACTTTTAAAACAAGGAAAGAAAATTTGCTTAACTAATAGCTGATATGGAAAGGATTTCTACATTATAAATTTTAAGGAGTAATGTCAAAGCTAATGATAATAAAACAAACCCAAACAGGAAACCAAACTGCTTCAAAATGATATCCCCTTTAACATAGGAAGAGAGGTCAGAAAAATGTCTTAGTGCTCAAAAGCAGGATGTTTTCTAGTACATTCTTGCTTGCATACAAACTCTCACTCAGGGTAGAGAATACATTGATCGTAGAGAAAAGAGTGATAGTCACTTTATGTACATGTAAGTAAAACACAGTTGAGATTATGAGCCAAAAAATGCATATCTTTTTCAATAGTGTCAGTTTACATGCTTTTGTTAACTTTATGATTCAAGTCTTTATCCAAAGAGCTGTGTCACTAATAATTCAAGTTCACATGATTTATCAAATATGGTATTAAGTTTTTATAAATCATCATGGCCCAAATGAGATATTATTCAGAGATCTTTATGTTTAATGAAATCTCACATAATGTTGAATTGCCTAAACTGTTTTAATTCATGTATCTCACAAAAATGTACTTTGTCATCTAAAACAATAAGGAAATTTCCAGAAATAGAATGCTTCCATGCAAATATATAAGAAAATTAATATTCACAATAATTTTCTATGTGAGTGCTCATTATTTTAAAAAATAGTATTAATAAAAAATATCCTTATTGTTTTCACATCCACACACCCTGAAAAAATGAAAGTAAATAAAAACTTAAAAAATAAATGATTGCTTTTATAAAACTTCCAAGATATTTCCTAATATTCTGTGCTATATTTTTGTAAACAAGTTTATAAAACACCTAAGAAACAAGAAAGAATTTACTATACCAGAAGTGTTTTTTTTTTAAAAGAAAAAAAAGAGCTTAAAAAATAGCTCAACTCCTAAAAATTCAAGTACTGTTGTTGGATCTTCATGTATTATTTAAAAGTACCAGTGAATGCATTTATAAATTATGTTTCTAATGGTAGGCTAATGGAACAAAATGAAAAAAACAGTCAAGAATTGTGTTTTTACAAATAACCTTTAGCTGACATCAATTTAGGCGTGACTAAATACTAAATACACACAAAGTTCGAGTCATAATGACAAGATGCCACTTTATTTTTAAAAATTCTCACCTCCTTTTCAAAAGTAAGAAAAACACAAAAAAATGCCCCTGCAAGTTGCAGATTCCAATGCTTCTTGTTATCAAGAAATTGCAAACCCCGTAGTAAATTTTGAAAATACATTGTTATATTATGCATTTCCTCACAAACTCCATGCATCTTTTGCATTGCATGTGACAGAATGTACATATTGCCTTTGAATCTAACAACATTGGTTCACTCCATTCCTCCCTTTGATGTTACGCAGTAACTTTTATTTTTTAATCTTGTTTTAGTTGCCAAATGTTAATTTATAGTATAGAAATATCAATGTTTTCTTTTGTTTTTAGAAACAGGGTCTCACTGTGTTGCCCAGGCTGGCCTTAAACTCCTGGGCTCAAGCAATCCTCCCATCTCAGCCTCCCAATTTCTCAGCCTCCTAAGTAGCTGGGACTACATGTGTGTACCACTGAGCCCAGCCAATTCGTTTTTGTGTGCTCTTTCCAAAATGAACATTTCTATACCATTTTTAACATATGGCACTAACAATGAAAATCGTCATTGGATCTCATGCCCACAACCTTTTCAAAATCAATCAGGAGCTTTAAGGGGAACATAATGCATTATGTCTCTTTATATTTACTTTGAGTTTGTTCCCATGAGAAGCTGTGGCATTCATCTACAGTAATTTGTACATGCTACAGGATTTGATTCAACACAATTAGAAGATATATGGTAATACACTGATGTGAATGGGTGGTTGAAAGTTGAAATTTAGACAAAAAGAAAGAAGACCAGTAGAGAAGTTAAGAGAACAGATTTAAAAATCAAAAATTCCAGGTATGTAATAAATCAAACTAAAGGAAGTTTTAAAAAGTTGGTCATATTCAACTCAAAAGAAATTTAACTTGAGGTGCGTCGCAGAGAACAATTCTTTTGCCTGATTTATTCTGAAGAGACAAAAAATGTGGAACTGTGTCAAAGCCATCACTTTTAATGTAAATCAGTTTCCTTAGAATAGTGCTATTTAGGCATTCTTGTGCTTATACCTTCTAAAAGTGAGATTGCATGGTTTCAGTTTCACTTTGGATGTAGAAAACTGCAGTAGAACTTTGCTCCCACTCTAACAATGAGTAGCAGCCAGAAATACTATAAAATTATAACTATTTCAGCCCATCAGAGAGCCAAAGCAATCAAGTGAACTGGATTCCAATATGTGACAAGCCCCTCAGAGGGCAGAGGGGCACATAAATTGTTTCCTCTTTTGGAGCAGCAGAGGAAGTGGTAGCAGCAAGCATGATACCAGGCAAGAAAAATGTCTTCAGCAAATGGTTAAAGGAAGAGTGTGCTCCTAAAGGAGTCAGCAACCATTCACCGGCTCCTTTGTGCCTGCAGCTACCACTGAATGCTTATGGGGAAGACTGAAGCCCAGAGCCATCCCAGACACACAGATGGTGAGCAGCTACTGCAGGAGACAGACACCGAACTGTCAACACCGTGGACTCTTCTCTCATAGGAAGCAAATGCCATGTGCTGCTTGGGGACAGCCAGGAAATGCTGCTGCCATCTAGTCTTAGGCCAAGGCCAGGAGCTTCAGGGGAGGGTGGAAAACCTGCACGTCTCCATCTGTTATTCACAATGTAATGTTGATCTGCTAATAGGAGAGGTGTGGGGAAAACACACTCATGGACACAGCCCTGCTCTGAAACAAAGGAGACTTCAGCTGACACTAGACAAGAACAAAAAGACACTTGTACTCAAGCACCCCCACTGACATGCCGCAGAGACTGGCACCTTGTCGGGGAGGCAGGATGGCGAGAAAGCCCCACCTCTGAAGTTCAGAAGCACAAGGCCTGACGATGACTAAGGATGGACCGGACAATGGCACCTTCCCCCTCCCCCAAAAGACTTCCCCCCAGAAGCCTCTCATTGAGTAACAAACAACAGCAGTCTACTGTGGGGAAATAATTAGGAACAAATAGGCACGCTGAGCATTGAGAGAAGGGCGATTAAAATGTGTCCATTGAATACGCTAAGAAAGAAAAGACAATGTCAGAGATAAAGAATTCCTTTGACAGGCATGCCAGAAAGCTAGACACCAAATTGATGTGCCTAGAGGAAGAAAATGGAGGAAGCTGAAGACAGGTCAATAGAAATTTTTCAAATTGAAACTCAGAGAGAAAGAAGGAATAAAATGGAACAAAAATCCAAGAGCCGTGTCAAAAGGTCTTATATACATGTAACTGGAATTTCAAAAGGAGAAGAGAAAGTGGGACAAAAGAAACATTGAAGATATAGTGACCAAGAAATAGACAAATGTAATGAAAGGAAACCAACCACAGATCCAAAAATCTCAAGTAACCACTAGCAGGATTAAAGAAAAACTCTAAATTTATCATTATCAGACTACTAGAAATCAAAGAGAAGAAACATTTTGAAGGCATCCAGGGATCAAAGAAGAACAAAAAAGTACCAACAGAGAGAGACAAAGATGAGAAGACATCAGGCTGTCATCAGAACTGATGCAAATCACAAGAGAATAGAGTCACGTGTTTAAAGTACCAAATGAGAAACCTGAAAATCTACAAATTTATACAACATGTGAAAATATCCTCTAAAAGTTAAAGCAAAGAGTTTTGATTTTTTTTTTCTTTTTTCAGAAAATCAAATCATGAGTGATATTGTGGCCAGCATATCTAAATTAAAAAATATTTTAATGAAGTCCATAAGAGGATAATATAAGATGGAAATGTGGAAATACAGAAAGAAATAAAGAGAAACAGAAATACGAAAAACGTGAGCAAATATGAATGACCTTTTTTTTATTTATAATACCTTTTAAAGAAAAATGTCTAAAGATTAATAATAATGCTTTGCAGGATTTACAATATGTAGAGTTCAAATGTATGACAAAAACAAGGAAGTGGGGAGGAAATGAAACCATATATTGGGAAGTTTCTTAGAAATTATGTGAAGAGGTTTTTTTTATATGTGACTGTGATCATTTAAAAATGTATATAAGCCCCGCCGGGTGCGGTGGCTCACGCCTGTAATCCCAGCACTTTGGGAGGCCGAGGCGGGCAGATCACGAGGTCAGGAGATCGAGACCATCCTGGCTAACATGGTGAAACCCCGTCTGTACTAAAAACACAAAAAATTAGCCAGCAGTGGTGGCGGGCGCCTGTAGTCCCAGCTACTTGGGAGGCTGAGGCAGGAGAATGGCGTGAACCCGGGAGGCGGCGCTTGCAGTGAGCCGAGATCGTGTGACTGCACTCCAGCCTGGGCGACAGAGCGAGACTCCGTCTCAAAAAAAAAAAAAAAAAAGTATATAAGCCCTAGAGATAAACAATTGAAAAATAATGCAATAAAAAGTTCTATCAATAAGCCAATAAAATAAATAAAAATGAATCATAAAATATATTTAATTATTTCAAAATAAGGCAGGAAAAAGGGCAAAAGGAATAAATTACATTTAGAGAAAATAGAAAATGAATAGCAAGATGGCGGGTCAATTCTCAACCATCATGAAGAATTAGATTAATACAAAAGGTCTAAATGCCCCATCTAGAAGACAAGATAGTAATATTGGATATAGAAGTAATATCCAACTATATTTTTCTATAAGAAATATACTTTAAATAGAAAGGTATACATGAGTTACAAGTTAAAGGATAGAAAAAGTTACATTGTGCAAATCCTAAGCAAAAGAAATTAGCAGAGGCTCTGTTAGTATCAGACAAGCTAAATATCAGAATGAGAAACATTACCAGGGATGAAGAGGGAAATTCTACATGTCCAGACATCAATTTCCCAACCAGACATAACAATTCTAAATATGAATGCAGCAAAAATTCAAAATTCAAAATATACAATGTAAAAGCTGATAGAACTAAAAAGAGAAACAGAAAAATCTACAATTACAGATGAGAACATCAATCTCCCCTCTCAGTAATTGTGAGAGGAATGAAGGAGGTGGCTAACTGCATGTGCTACAGACATTACAAGGATAAGAGAATGTTATGATGAACTCTTTGTCAGTAAACTTGATAATTTTGATGAAGTGAACAAATACTTGAAAAACACAAATCATCAAACCTTACTCAAAAAAGAATATAAAACTTTATATCCTGTACAGAAATTAATTTCTTAGTTAAAATCCTCTGACAAGTATCTTGGCCAAGGTTACTTCACTGATTAGTTCTACCAAATATTTAAGGAGGGAATAATACCAACCCTATACAAACTCTTCCAAAAAATAAAAAGGAGGAAAAAATCTTCCTTATAAATTTTAGGCGTCCTTCAATTATCCTAATACCGAAGCAAAACAAAGTGTTTGCAAAAAAAAGTATTGACTAATATGTCTCATGCACATAAAAATTACCATATTAGGAAATAAAAAGCCATATGTAAACAGGATAATTTACCATGACCATACTGGATATATGCCATGAATGAAAGTTAATTTCAATATCCAAATGTCAATTAGTATAATAAACCATAACATACAACAAGTTAATCAAGAATTTTTAAAAATCTTCTTAATGGGGGCAGAAAAAGCATTTTGCAAAATTCAACACCAATTCATGATAATCAGTTTTTGCAAACTAGGAATGGAGACAACCTCTCCATCCTGATGAAAGTCAGAAGATTCTATAAGGAACCAGTATCTAACATTATACTTCATGATAAAAGACTGAATATTTTCCACCTAAGAGTGTGAACAAGGCAAGAATGCTGTCCTCATTACACCAATTTAACCTTGTACTAGACTTAGCCAGTTGCTGTAAGGTAAGAAATATTAAATTATAAGAAATAATGGGTATGCAGTTTGGAAATAAAATAAAAATCTATATATTCTCAGGAAACATGATAATTTATGAAGAACTCCCAAAAGAATTTCTAGAAATAACCTGCTAAAACTTTTAAGTATGTTTAGCAAGGTCACAAAAAACAAATTTAATAAACAAAGTTTCACTATATTCCTATATATTAGTAAAGCGATTCTCAAAATAGAAATATAAAACATACCAATTATAGTAGCATCAAACCCAGAAAATATTTAAGAATATATTTAACAAAATATGCATAAGACTTCTAAACATTATAAAATATTGCTGAGAGAAAATAAAGTACTAGATAAATTATGAACTATCCTGTGTTCCAGGGATCAGAAGAATCAAATTTGTTAAGATGCCAACTTACCTCAAATATACCAATAGATTTAACATAATAGTGATCAAAATCACAGCATGCTTTCTTAAAATAGAAAGTAAATGAGGTGACTTCAAAATTTTATATGAAAGATTAAGGAATATATAGCCAAAAGCATTTTGAAAAAGAAGAATGAAGGCTGGGCACGATGGCTGACGCCTGCAATGCCGATGCTTTGGAAAGTGAGTCTGGTGGATCACTTAAGGTCAGGAGTTTGAGACCAGCCTGGCCAACATGGTGAAACCCCGTCTCTAATCAAAACACAAAAATTAGACAGGCGTGGTGGCACATGCCTGTAATCCCAGGTACTAGGGAGGCTGAGGCAGAAGAATCACTTGAACCCAGGAGGCAGAGGTTGCAGTGAGCCGAGATTGAACCATTGCACTCCAGCCTGAGCAACAGAGCAAGACTCTGTCTCAAAATAAAGAGAAGAATGAGGTTTGAGGACTTACATTACATGATTTTGAGAATTACTAGAAAGCTACAGTATTAAAAGGAATGTTGACTAAGAATAGACATATGGAAAAATGGAATAGAACAGAAGTACCAGGAACAGGCACATCTATACAGGGCCAATTGATTTTTTATAACCATGCCAACTGAATTCAAAGGGAAAATGATAACCTTTTCCACAAATGTTGCAATATGCAAACATTTGCATTTAGTTGGAAAATTAGAAGGCTATATGCAAAAACAAAACACCCTGACCTTTATCTCATACCATACTAAAATTATCTTAAAATGGGTTAGATGTTTGAAGTTACCAGATAAAACTACAAATTGTCTAAAAGTAAACATGGGAGGGAATATCTGTGACAATATGGTAAGCAAAGGTTTGTCATGTCATTCATAAGTTGGCTGGCTTCAGAATTAAAAAGTAGTACTTATCTAAAAACAGTTAAGAAAATGAAACAAACCAGAGACTGGGAGAAAATATTTTCAAAACACATACCTGGCACAGAAGTTCTATCTATTATACATTTAAAAACTCTTATAAGTCAACAATAAGACAGACAATCTGATAAAGAGATGGCAAAATATTTGAATTGCTACTTCACCAAAGAAGATATATGAATGGGAATTTGTACATGAAAATATGCTCAATATCTTCAGTTACAAGTGAAATGCCATTAGGATCAAAGGAAGATACCACTACACAGACACTAGAAAGGCTAAAATTAAAATTCTGAGAGTACCACATGCTGGCAGGCTTGTGTAGGAATTGGGGATGCAAAATGGTGCAGCTGTTTTTTTAAAAAACAGATTGGCAGATTTTTGTGAAAATCAACATACACTTACCATATGACCCACCAATTTTATTCCTTGATATAGGATTTCCCAGGGGAAATAAAAACATATTTCCCTACAAAATAATCTGTGCACAAATATTTGTAGTAGCTTTGTTAACACTGTCCCAAATCTAGAAACAACACAAATGTTCAATAGGTGAACAGATAAGCAAATTGAGTAAATCCGTACAATGAAATACTATCCAGACACTTAAAGTGCTGAACCATTGATACAGTCAACAATATTAATGAGTCTCAAGATCACATGAAAGATGCTGGACACAGAAGACAACATGATAAATATAAATATGATCTCTATGTATATGATATTGGAAAAGGCAAAATTATAAGGGGAGAATACATCCATGTTGGAAGTGACTACTAGTGGTAAGAAGGGATTGACTTCATAAAGGCACAAGATAACTTTTTATAGTGATGGCAATGTTCTATTTCTTGATTGTGGGGATGGTCCCATGACTGCATATGTTTGTCAGAGTGATTCCATGACACACTCAAAATTGCTGACCTTTATTGAGTTTAAAGTATATCCCAATAAACATGACTTTAAAATGATGGGACTATGAAAATGTATAAATGTTTGAGTATATTTGGAAATTGTTATTTAATGTCCTAAACATATTGTAAAGCTTGATTTTTAAGTTTACCATTAGTCCCCATTAATATATCCACTCAACTTAGTAATGGAATGAAAAACAAATGATTTTCCATTTAAAGTGATTATCTTTAACAATTTCTAAAAATCTTCTTAGGCACTTTTGAAAATAATTATTTAAATTGAGACTAAAACAACTGCATGAAATCAGACATTGAAGAAAAATTAAAATATTGTTAGAATAATATTTTGCCATGTACACTTAAAAACTAACATAGGAACACTGATAACCCAGCATTAGAATAATGCCTAATCCAGTATTATAGTCATGTCTGTCATGTTTTCTATTTATGCAGAAATGAATATAGATATTAGCCTGACACTTAAACAAATTGTTTTAAATCTGAAAACTCTATTGTAAAAAGTTTACTTAACAAAAGTCACAAATATGAAATAACCATAAGTAGCAATATTGTGCAGAGTATTCTTAGTATGGTGACTTAGCTAGAAATGAACAGTGGTAGAATTTGAAGTCCAGTCTGATTCCAGTCCTTTTCAATAAGTGACATTGCCTGATACAACCAGTTGTTGTTAGAAGATCTGGGCTTGAACTCATGAACTGTTTCATTCAGCCAGTTCCTTAATTTCTTTTGACTCACGTTTACAAAACTTCTAACTGGAGATGTTAAGAACCTACCATGTGGCCAGGCGCGGTGGCTCACACCTGTAATCCCAGCACTTTGGGAGGTGGAGGCGGGAGGATCACGAGGTCAGGAGATCCAGACCATCCTGGCTAACACGGTGAAACCCCGTCTCTACTAAAAATACAAAAAAATTAGCCGGGCGTGGTGGCGGGCGCCTGTAGTCCCAGCTACTCAGGAGGCTGAGACAGGAGAATGGCGTGAACCCGGGAGGCGGAGCTTGCCGTGAGCCGAGATCGCGCCACTGCCCTCCAGCCTGGGCGACAGAGTGAGACTCCGTCTCAAAAAAAAAAAAAAAAAAAAAAAAAAAAAAAAAAAAACCTACCATGTGCAAGGTTCTTGTGAGTGTTACAGAAATCAACTGTGTAGCATAACTCCTGGCACAAAATAAAACTCCATAAATGGTTCCTGTTATGAATTAGGACATGCCCCCTGTGAGTATAGAATCAAATTGTTCAACAAATTATATGGATTAAAAATAGCATTTAGAAATAGTTTACAACCAATCTTTGTTTTCAGTGAATATAAATAATTTTAATCTTTATAAAGAAGTGAATGTTTAATTTGCAGCTGAATATTAAATTTATAACAGTTTTTAAGACTGAAAACATTAGTATCATTTTGATGAAGATGATGTGAGGTGACTACCTCGATCACTCACTTATTCTTATAAAAAGGACTTAAAGGGCAAGTGGGGAGGAAATTTACCTGGTATTAAACTGTATGGCTTAAAGTTGTTTAAGGCCTGCTTCCATTCTGATTGGTCTGTGCTGGTTTTTAAATGTTATCAGTTTTATTCCTGAAATAATGTTGATAATTCTAAAGTTTCACAATGGCCTTCCACTCACAACAATATAACAAACCTCAGATTCACGCATTTTTCCTCTCCAACCTACTGAAAATTTTCTATATAATTCAATAAAACTCATGTATATCAGTGCTCACAAGAAAGAAAATAAATTCCAGGGGCTACAAACAAAAGCACTGGAAACTGGAATCCACAGTGACAAGCTGGCAATGACACCCTCGTTTGTTATCTGAAGACCTTTGGCTAAAGAGAGGACCATGATCAGAATACTTGACGCCAAGGAGACAAGATGCTGGGCTCACTCCAAACAGTGAAATAAAAGAGGTTCTGCTGACCAAATCCAGGAGCCTTCAATGAAAAAGTGAGCTAGCAAATGTCTTCCCACCGGAAAAGGACTCTACAGTGTAACTTACAAGCCACAGGCATTACAGTCAAGTGAGAAGAAAAGAAATAGGATGTTTTCTTGAGAAATTGTAGCCCTAAACCTGACATCATTGGGTCATAGGGTTCAAATTTATACAAAAATTCAATAAAATCATTTAAAGTGATCACATATTCCTGGCATCTTAAGCACACGGTAGAAGCAAAAGCAAATCTTTTCTAGAGAAAGGTTTCCTCAAGAAAGTCAATGTACACATTCTTCAAGTGTACTACAAACCTGGGTAATCTGGAAGATGTATTCAAAATTTTTTAAAATTATAAATACATAACAAACAATTCGCCACGAATAAGGGTCAGATGAAACAATGAATAGCCACAGATCTGGATATAAACTAAATTGGGTTTTAAAATATGAAGAAATACATGAGAACATTAACAAGATAAACAAGTAATAAGGTTCAATAAAAATTAAAAAGCAGACTGATTTGAAAAATGACTGCTTAGAACATCTTGTAATACCTAATTCTATTGAAATAAAATCTGTCTTTAAGTTGAACATAAAATTAGAATTGAAAGAATATTAGAGAAACAGAAACAAGACTTGAAAAAGAGACATAAAAAATCCAAGCAATATAAATAAAAAAAAAATTCTATACTAAACCACAGTGTAATGAAACTGCAAGACATCAAAGTCAAAAATCTTGAGAGTAGAAGAAAAATTGAGCCACAGACAGAAGGAGAGTGATAAGCCACAAAAAGAATAGTTGGCCTAACAGCAGATTTACCAGCAGAAGAGAAGAAGTCAGAAGATAAGAAATAACACATCCCAATTACTTAAAGAAAATAACTATAAACTTAAAATTGTACACAATGCCAAGTAATCATTTAAAACCAAGTAAAAATAAATAAATTTTTGAATAAAAACTTCGGGCTTACCCCTAACAGATGGACATTAAGGAAACTTAAAAGATATGCTTCAAAAAGAAGGAAAATGATGCTACAATGATGATCTGAAATGGGAGAAATAATGAACAGAAACAAATTAGCAAATAGATTTTGAATAAAAAATAATTGACTCTTTATAGCAATCATAATATCTGAATTCTGGAATTAAAAGATATATTGGCCTGAAATGTCAGAAACTTGTGAGATAGACGAGCATAGAGTTACAGTGGTCTAAGGTATTTAGATTGCGTGGGAGGAGAAAGAAACAATGATTAATGTTTGATTTTATGCACACATAACAAAAACTTAAGAACAAACACTGACGAAATTGAATTAGCAATGTAGTTCTCAAAGATTAGGAGAGAAAACAAAATAAATGAAGAACAAAATAAAATTCAGGCCAAAAAAACACAAAAAGAAACACAGGAAAAGTAAGAAAAACACCATGCATAAAATAAAATAATAGAAGTTATTTTTAAAATCTTATTAATGACAATAAATGTAAAAGGAACAAACCACATTTTCTCAACATAGTAAATTTAATATTGAATTAAGGAAAACCTCCATATATGGGAAATACTTTTTAGAAAGCTAAATAGCTCATAGATTGAGATGTAACATTAACAGAAATTTTGAAAATAGAGAAAGCAATAATGATAAAAATGACACTAAATTCAAGGTTGGTAAAAGAAAATTTTAGCAGTACCTAAAAAATCCTTAAAATTATAGATACATATGTAATATAGATAGATAGCTGTTTTCCTAAATGTTTATATTAGAACATAAAGAAATAATATATGAGCTAAACATCCAACAAAAAATATTTTTAAAAGAACAACATAAAATTTAGTAAATACGCAATATCCGGCATGATTAATTTTTTAAAAAAGACAAAAGTAATGTCTTTAAAATTTAAGGTGACAGAAGTAACCAATAACATGAGTTATTTTTTAAGAGCAAGTAAATATTAAAATATTTGTGATAAATTTGAAATTTGATCAATATAGACATATTTCTGAAAAAGATAACAAAGAAACTGATATATGAGAAAAATATCACTGACTGTTCCCGTAATCATTAAAGAAATTTATTATCCAAAAGCTCAATCATTGAAAGTGCAAATCAACACTAAATTTAGATGGTTTTACAGGTTCTACTCAACTCCCATGAGAAATAAAATATCAATAGTTCTACTCAACTCCCATGAGAAATAAAATATCAATAGTTCTACTCAAGTCCCATGAGAAATAAAATACCAATATTACAAAAATTCCCCTGGAAAACAGAGGAAAAAGAATACTTTCTAAATAACTTAAAAAATCAAGACTAGTTTTAGTACCATAATTGGACAATGGCAGTTAAAAATAATATTCCACAAAATTTTATTTTCACATAGATATAAATATTTAAAACAATAATTTCTGGAAAAAATCCAGTAAAGTGTTAAAAAATATTACTACCAAATTGAATTCCTGCTCATGTTTAACAAAATGTTGGCAGTATTAGCAACTACAGAGAAACAAAAGAATGAAACGAAAAGTATTGGTATTGCAGAGGTCAAAAGAAAATGCCATTAGGAGTAGACAATATGATTGCCTATTGTTCACATACAAAATCCAAACACTTTTGAATTGATTATTTTAGGTTTAAGATTTAAACGCCCAGGAACAGGCTCATGCATGGATGGAAACTCTATAAACGACAAAATAGTACTACAGTTCAGTGGGGAGAGGATGGACTATTCAACAAATTATATTGGGATGACTTGTATCAATATGGAAAGAAAGAAAAATATATTGACATATTCAAGATATAAAAATCAATTCAAGATATAAAAATCATTACCAACATAAGCACAAAATTAACTTTTAAGCAAAAATATAGAATTACACCTATACGTCTTCAGAATAGGGAAAATTCTCTTCAACAAGATAAAAAAAGTGCAAAATGTAACAAATAAGAATGATTATTTTGACCACACAAAAACTAATAGTATACATTCACCAAGAAATGCACTCCTCAAGAAAATGTAAAACTAAGAAAGAAACCAGAAAATGTTTGCCACACATAAAATAGACAATAGCTACTATCTAAAATAGGTAAAGAATTTTTTAAAAAAGAACATTCATAATAGTATTGACTGTAATAATGACTGTAAACTACACAAATATTGATCATGAATTGAGCGTAGGACTATACTGTGTTGTATTCATACCTTAAAAAGTAATGAACTAGTGCAACACTACATTTTTTTCGACAAAGATGGATCTCATAATCCTAGTATAATAAAAAAATCTAGATTCCAAAGAATGCACACAGTTTATTTGCATATAATTGAAACATTAAAAATAATACCATATATTCATCAAAGAAACCCACATATGTAGTAAGTACAGACAGAACTATGTGGAAATAATAAAGTCTAAATTTAAGTTACTGTTTAACCCAGAACAAACAGAAAGATTTTTGGTAAAGTGCTTCAGTGTTTTCAATTGTATTGGTAATGTTTCATTACTTAGTATGGACAGGGACTATATAATACTTACTATATTGTTTGTACGTTAGTATTTTCATACATTAAGATTTTAATTATGTTATAATAAATTATAAACACAAAACTCATTTATTTACTCACAGCTACTACTTATTTTGGAGAAATTCTGTCAAAGGGAAAACAAACTACCAGGTTCCAAAAGGCTGGACATTTCTGGTGATATGGAAATCTAGATGATGAGCTTGGTCAATGTGGTAACTGCTTTTCTTGTCAGAAGCTTCTTATTTAATCAGTAAAATATTTAAATATTTATATTTGTCATTTTAATTTCCTAATTGTAATATCACCATGTAGAAATTTATGCAGTTATATTTTATTATGCAAATTGGATTTAAAAAAAAAACTACAAAGCAATTAAAGTTCAAAAAACCAGAAAATTTAAATGTTATTTCTCCATGGTTCCCAGCATAGATTCTGATTCCTTCAGAATTTATCCATGTTGATTATAATTGGTGTTTTAAAATTTTTTTTGTTATTTTAAAAAACCAAGAGGAGAATGCAAATTTATCAACATTAAGGTTGCATACACTAATTAAAATTCTTTATTTCTTTGTTTTGTCTATTACTATATCAATTCAATAAGAGTAACTCATGATGTTCATGCTAATTAGGAACTTTAATTGAAAATTTATAAATGTCTCTTTGACAATGAATGATTATTTCATAAATGCAGTCTGTTTAGTAATCAGCATATTTTATATCAAAAGGTACAGAAAAGAATATTAACTAAAATTTTGCTTGCTAATATCAGTTTTGAGAATCACCGAACCATCAATCATCATATGCAACTCCATTCTTAATTTTGTAATGATCAAAACAACTTAAAAAATATTACCAGCTTCCAGCAAGATCAACTTATAAGTTATTTAAGAATTTTTCTGCCTTTTCACAGGGAAACCATGTATGATAATGAGGGAAAACCACACAGTGAATAGTAAACCACAAACTGCTTGATTGGCCAAATTACAGAACAGAAAAAAACAAAAAATACGAACTATATGAAAATGCTATATAAAGCTATTAAGACCATCAGGGCTGGGTAAGAACTCATAAAGCAATAAACCAAAGCAGTGATATTGAGTCAGAAAAGAATTTGAAGAAGAGAAAGGGTCTAGTAGAGGAAGATGTCGTAAGTTTCCAGAAAATGTACACTCTAAAATAAGAGCACTCCACTTTATTTAGAACTGCTATGAGATGGGCTGAGATTGAAAAAAGGGAAAATACTTAGAGACATGAGAGGAAAAGTAATACAACGTTCAGCATCTCACCGGTGACAGATCTCAAAAGGCGAACAAAAACAGTTTCTGAAGCAAATGGATCACTTGGGAAGACAGGAGCCACTCTGCTTGGTAACAGTGGCCAGTGAAAGAATGAGCACACAGGGCTGATTGAGAAGGCTCTGAAATGTGTAAAGGTCTGAAATATGAAATACACAATTATGCACAGAGGTTTCACATTTTTAAAAACAATAGTTTATCTTCATAGCAACTGAGAAGAGAGCACTTGAACTAAAAAATCAACAAAGCTAACCTGCCTCTTCCAACATTGGAATTGCCTACTCATTTCTATAGATCATTTATTCTAAAATAAATAAAAAGGGTTGTGTGGCATCCATACACGGAAAATATATGAGAAAAGAGCAATGAAATTTTCCTACAGGTGAGGGTCAGCAAATTTCTCTGTAAAAGACCTAAATAAAGTAAAAACTAAACAGAAATAATAAGAGATAAAAAGGATCAGTGAGCAAAGCTGAGGAACACATGCAAGCCATAGAAAAAAAAAACCGCAATAGTTGGACAATAAAGAAATACACATGTTAAACGAGCACATCAACATACCACAAAAAATACAACAAATGCACCAGCAGAATAGACTGCAGTATAGTATAGTATATTGTATATTATTTACATATATTATTACATATATTATTGTGTATTATATGCTACATGTATATATGTTTTATATAGTACACTATATTATATAATAGTATACTAGCATATACTCCCACACAAACCAAAATAAAAAGCTGTATAATCTACAGAATGATAACTTTTCTTCAACGTATCAGAAAGCTGATGTAATAGGGTAGCTACCCACATCTAAGGAAAGATATGCACCTCCAGGGAGAAACAGAATTTCAGTAATCACCTATGGAAGAAGGTGGAACACCAGGTCTCAATACATGTGGGTAGGAATAATTCAGCTAAAAATTGTATTCGATTGCTTAAGGAGTGAGAGTCAGATAAAGCGATTGTATGGAACACCAATGAGCTATAGACCCAAGGAAAGTTGATATTCCACTGTAGGTTTTCCTCCAACAACCTACTGTGTGCCCATGAGAAGGAGCAGCATCAAAGAGAGGAGAATACTTGTTGCAGTCCTGGAGGATGGTGAAGCTGCTGCTGGAGAGAATGAAACAGCACCCAGTTACTTCTCCCGTAAGTAACAAAAGCTTCTGCCTCTGAAGAAAGGCAACAAGCACCATCAACCAGAGAGTAGATGAAGACTCACAATGATTGGTGGGAGGGTAAAAGTAAATGTTCTCTACTCCTCAGAGAGTTGCAGAAAACCATCCTGGACCCAGGAAATTAAAGCTCCCCTACTGCTGGGATGAGCAGGGTCACTTGGAAACTCTACCTCTGAAACCATGACACAGAGCCTAAGAAAGTGACTAAACAAGGAAAACAGAATCCCCCCACCTTTGTCGCCCAGGCTACCAAGCACCAAGTACCAAGGAATTTCTACTTTGGTGGAAAGAAAAGGAACCTGAAACTAGATCCTCTCTTAGGTCTAAATATGAAGGCAAACTTGGAGCTGTGGTTGGGGAGGAACATTGAGAAAAATGCTCAGGAAAGTTATCCAGAATCCAAGCACAAGTTAACGCTGGAGGAATTTGAAGACAGCAGTACACTGAAGGCAGACATGGAAACAGCTAATTGCAAACCCAGACTGACTTTAACTAGATTGACTTAATCCTCCCTACCTCATCACTAATAGCATAACAGAGAATAAGCATGCCCATTTCCAGGCATAAATGCTACTTACTACAATGTCTAATATATTGTCATTTTACACTATGAACATCAATCAAAAATTATAAAATTTAAAAAGACAGAAAGTACTTCCAATAGAAAAAAGCAATCAACAGAATTAGACACAGAGATGATATAGATATTGAAACTATCCCTAAGAGAATACAAAATAACTATGAACAACATGTAACTGTAATAAATTACCACCAAATTGGTTAAAAACACAAATGTGTTCTCTTATAGTTCTGCATGTCAGATCCAAAATGTGTCTTTCTGGGCTAAAATCAAGGTATTGGCAGGATAATAGTGCTTTCTAGGGGCTCTTGGCGAAGAATAACTGTTCCTGCCTTTTCCGACTTCTAGAGGTTGACTTCATTCTTTTGCTCCATGCCTTCTTTTATCATGGAAGCCAGGAATGACTTGGCTTATAGTGCTCCGACTCTTCTACCTCCCTCTTTTGCACTGAAGAACCCTTATATTGGGCCCACCCAGATAATCCAGGATAATCTTCCTATTTTGAATTCATTTGTTTAGCTGCCTTAATTCCATCTGCAAACTTAATTCCTATTAACTGTATAACACATTTGAAGGCTCCAGAGATTAGGATATGGATTTCTTCAGGGGTCATTGTTTTGCTTACCGCATAGGAAATAAAAAATACGCTAAGAGAGATGAAGAATGCCTCTAACAACTTCATCAGTCAACATGACACAACTGAGGAATGAATCAGTGAACTTTAAAACTGTTTAATAGAAATTACCCAAACTGAGTGATATAATAGACTTTGGAGACTCAGAAGCACGGGTGTAGGAGGGAGGTAAAGAATAAAAAACTACATATTGGGTACAATGTATAATAGTCAGGTGACGAGTGCACTAAAATCTCAGAATTCAGCACTGTAGAATTCATGCATGTAACCAAAAACCACTTGTACCCCCAAAGCTACTGAAATAAAAACAAGAAATTACCCAAATTGAAATACAATGGAAAAAATAAAAAGAGTGGTTGAGGGTGGGGACACAGTGTGTCCACAAGCTGTGAAACATCACCCAAAGGTGTAACTTATATGTAATGACAATTCTAGAAGGCAAAGAGAGAACATGGGCCAAAACAAATATGTGAAGAGATAGTAGCTGAGAATTTTTCAAATAAAATGAAAATATCAAAGCATGAATTCAAGAAGTTTAGCAAACATCAAGCCAGATAAATACAAAAAAAAGGAAAGAACAACACTGGGATACTTGATATTCAAATTGCTATGTTTGCCAAAGCAGAAAGCATTACAAAAGAATAAAGGTAAGAATTAGAGGAAACTCCTCATAAGAAATTATGCAACCTAGAAGACAATGGTGTGGCATCTTTAAATTGTGAAAAGAAAAAATAATTGTTATTCCAAAATTCTACAGTCACAAATTGTATTTTAAAAATTAAGAATAAGGAAAATATTTTTCAGACAAGCAAAATCAAAGAAAATTCATCAATTAAACATTCATTACAAGACAAATAAATTTCTTGAAGCAGAAGGATAATACCAAAGTTTGATCTACAAAGATATTATTCCCACAAACGATAAAGTAAAGGTATATATAATTTTTTTCCTTCTTTCAAATAGCAATAAAAAATTATTGGCTGTCAGGCCAGGCACAGTGACCCACAACTATAATCCCAGAACTTTAGGAAGCCAAGGCAGGAGGCTCCCTTGAGACAAGGAGTCCAAAACCTGCAATCCCTGCACTTTGGGAGACAGAGGCGGGCAGATCACTTGAGGTCAGGAGTTCGAGATCAGCCTGGCCAACATGGTGAAACCCCATCTCTACTAAAAACAAAAATTATCTGGGCCTAGTGGCACATGCCTGTAATCGTAGCTACTCGGGAGGCTGAGGTGGGAGAATCACTTGAACCCGGGAGGCGGAGGTGGCAGTGAGCTGAGATTATGCTACTACACACCAGCCTGGGCAACAGAGCGAGAATCTGTCTCAAAAAAATAAATAAATAAAATCAGCCAGGCATGGTGGTTCATGCTTGTCATCTTAGCTACCTGGGAGGCTGAGGTGAGAGCATTACTTTATCCAGAAATTTGAGGCTGCAATGAGCTACAAGAGAGGCTTTTAAGTCTGTGCTCTGTTTTTGAGTCTTCTTGCCTAGGCTATGAGCTCTTCCGCTGTTAATATTTGTATCTCAGCACCTAGTATAGTGTCTGGCTCATAGAACACATCTGATGAATTAATGAGCTGTGAAACTCCAAAATTTAACATCTTCAAGCTTTTCTCCTCATCTTACCATATGATATGTTCCTTCCAGAGTCCCTCACATTTTACTATATGCTTGTAGATTTTCTCCGTATTGAAGAACCATCATTTAGGGCTTGGTTCATTGAGTCATACTCTGTCATTACTCATTATTAAATATTTCCAAGAAGGAGATTACTAATGCAGAAAAAATTTGATTTATCTTTCCAGGAATAAAAGGGCATAAGCCATGGTGGAACAATCAATAAAACATTCTTTCAGATAATTCATAACACTAAAAGAAGGCATAAAAAGCAAAGTGTTTACATTTTGCATTGTAAAATATAACACTAGTGTTGAAAATATCCATCCACGAAGATGATTTATTGAATAAAGGTTTACATGTAAATTCCATATCATTATTTAAAGAAGCAGTTAGTTGTATAAAAAAAAATTGTTGGGAATCTCATTATAGGAAAAAATATCCTGGCACTGCTGCATCTAAGAACCATAACTCTTGCTGGGAAGGTATATTAATCAGAATTCCCATAAGCTTTAAACTATTTAAAAAATATTTCTCAGACCGTTTGTCTCAAAAATGTTTGAGAAGCATCGCGTAGCCATGGAAGGTGACTTCAAAAGAATGGACCAGAGAACAAGTGAGCAGATTGCAGATCTGTGCTAAGGACCTCGCAGATATTCGAGTTAATCCAAGAGTTTATTAGTGGGGACATTTTGAACATTGATTAGTATATCCCTTAGAAAGCTTCCGCTGAAACAAATAAAAACCACTTAAAGATCATTTACACCCACATGGGGATTTTATTGTCAGGTTACCCTGTGTCTCTCCGAAACCAAGGCAAGAATGCCTTGAGAGTTCAGGAAAGTAGAAAATGGATGGACTCAGCTGTTCTTTCTCCATCTCTCAATTCTACTTCTCTTTGCACCTGCTCCTTTGTCTCTCACTGTTCCCCAGTCTGCACGGCCATTCGTAGCCCGGAGTATACCACAGACAGCCCAAGTCCCATAAAAAGACTCCTTTAGGTGTGATTTCAGATGTCTGAATGTGGGGTGCAATTTGCCTCAGTCTTAATGGGCTTCCCCCTCTTGGCAGAAGGCCTGCTAGTGAAAAGGGAGTGATGAGAGGGCAGCCACATTTTACAAAGTGGCCCCGGGATAAGTGAGAGGGAGTGCTAACTGTCTCTATCAACAAACTCTTAGCATACGGCGGCACTACTTCCTAGCAGATGTGGAGTAACTTGTTCTGCAGTGTAGTGGATCAGGTTGACCATTCTCCGTGGAAGGGGTGAGTGAGAAGAGGCGGCGAAGCCCACAGAGGTGGTAGAAAGAGCATCCAGGAGGCAGGGGTCTTTCCCTCAACTTCCTGTCCTCTTTTCATTTTCCCCCAAGAACATATCCAAATAAATAATCCCAAAAAGGATGGCCCTGGAACTCCAAACGATTTATTTATTTTCAAAAGTTTAATCTAGGAGTAGGTACTATGGCACAGTGATCAAAATTAGACAGACCCAACTACAAAGGTTTAATTTACCACTTACTGCTTACGTGAACAAAGGGCTCAACCTCTGTCAGCTTCAGTTTCTGATGTGTTTAATGGGGACTGTCCAGGACTGAATGATATGATCTGTTTAAAGCCCCTGCCTAGGGCCTGGTGCATGGCAAATGCTCCCACACAGCTTACTCTAATGAGCACTAGACTAGCAATTTAGGAAAATTGTGGCTTTTATTTCTCTGTGTATTGTTGTGCCCTATTAATTATGGTTTGGAAAATTGCTCACATTTACATTACCCCTAATTATATTAACAACTGAACCTGGATAATTATGCCAATAACTGAATGACCCATTTTGGATGACCTGTTTTGTGAATTAGTAAATTGTGTGAACAAGCATAGGAGAATGAAGGCATCTACAATTGCTTTGTGTATTTATTTTAAGGAATGGAGATGTTCAAACATTTGCAAGGAGCGCTTATAGCCTCAAAACTAAATACACTCTGCAAGTGTTGATGTGTTTTTTTTTTTCTGGGGACAATAGCTGTAGAGGCTTAGTTATTACATTTTAATGACTTTTAAGGTGAGACATAGCAGCTTTGTAGGCATAGTGTGTTCACAGTTGCAAGGGCAAAGGAGAGAAGCTGGAGAGTGTTTTATTTCATTTAATGTGCAAATAATATTTTTTAAAGATTTGATTAAAACAGGAGTCTTCTCCAGACATCACCGTGGTTGCCAGCATGGAAAGCAAACTTTTCATGTATGGAGAAAAAACTCAAATGATATCTGTATCTGTAGCTGACGTTACCCCTCTCAAAGTGGAGAAAATGCATTGCCCTAGAAACTGCATTTCATGAATAAGAAGAAAGTGATGTTAAGGTTTTATGCAAGGAATGAAAGAGCAGTTTGGATTAGCCCAGGGCTGTGAGGCCACGTAGACAGGAAATATTTTCATGTCAATGATGGGCACATGACCTTCCAGAAGAAAGTTAATGGCTTAGAATCTGAATTAGAACAGCTTTCTTCAGTTTGGAGGCTTGACGGTTACTTGAAACAGAGCTTCGCTTGGACAATTATCTCCCAGATTTCAAAACAGATGCGGAAGGGGTTTCCATTATCAGTGTAGCAAATGCTTTCACAGATGTCTTAGTTTCGACATCCTTTCCCCTAAACCATAGTCATAAAATAATGGCACTTTGAAGTTTCTGTTGGCATCTCAGGAGCTTCCCACACTAATCCCTTAAAATACAGGCAGAGTGACTTATTTGTGAGCATCTCACTCAGGAGATAATGAGCAGAGAAACTGCTGACTTTTAAGCGAGCCTCTTTGAAAGGTCTTGATTAAACCTTGCTTTATATCAGTTTCTAAAAGGAGGAAAAACAAAGCAGTATTCATCAACTCCTGCCTTGTTTCTTTCAAATTTTGGGTGAATCTATTTTGTATCAACAAACTCAAAGAAAGATCAAATAGAATAGGGCCTTTCATTTTGTTCCCAAACTAAATCCAACTTTTGCTTGCTTTTAGAATAGTCTTATGTATCAGGGACTGTTGGTGACGCTTCACATGCCCCTGTCAAAATAAAATGCAAACCAATAAAGGTAACCAGAATATATTGCCCCAAAATATGCCTCTTTGGCATAAGAATTATTTTGAGCTGAAGGCAATTAAGAAGCAGCAACCTCAGGAAAAGCTCTCTGCTCTCCTCCTATCTGGCAAAAACAGGACATAAATTTACAAAGTTATCCCTCTCTACTAGGAAGGACAAGAGTCAATCAGCAGAGATCATTCTAGACCCTTCTTAGCCTGGAATCTGCACCAGAAGACTCTATATAACAAGCTTTACTAGCTAGCCCTTATCTTTCATTCCTTTCTCGTATATTTGCCTTCTGAAAATTTAATACCCCTGGAGACTCAAGGCCTTTTTCCTTTGTCTGGTCCCTTCTCTTTCCTGTTCCTTTGCTAAAATATTATATAAGTCCAAGATATAACCAAACATTCAAGTTACTCATCCCATGTTAACAAACGTTTGCTCTCTTGTCAGTTTGTCTTTTGCCAGTCTAATTTATGGGGCCCCAGCTGGACAACCTAAGATGGGTAGAGAAATAGATTATTCCACCCTTAGACCTGCTTTTCACTTCTGACATGTTTTCTTCTAAGAATGAATGCAGTTTATAACAATCACTAGGTTAGAGGTTACTTCTCGAGGACACGCTGTTGAGTGAACTGTGACTGCTGGTTGTCTACCTGTTGCAGTGAGTAAAGTTTTATCGGCATCTTGTGTGGCTCTTTTCACATCACCTTGGTGAAGTTGAATAGTTGCAACATATTCATACATAGCTCTTTAACAAAACGTTTGCCAACTTCTGCACCGATGAGATAATTGTTTTAATTTCACATCCTTATAATATTATTAGAATTTTCAATTAACATTTGAATACTCATTGGGTCTATAGCTTTGTCCTTGGAACCCTAAGTCAGATGAGTATCTATTGCGATAAATGATATCGAAACATCTCCTTAATAGCATTTCAGTCAACAGTGCCTCAGCACTTGCTATCACACTACTTGATGAGTGACCACAGTAACATCTCTTTACTTCTTAATTACACTCAATTAATTGCAATGATGTCTAATCTAGTACTAAAAAAGCTCAAACCACTATCAAGTAGTGAAGAATGTAGTTTTTCTTTACTCTTTTTTTTCTTAGCACCTTCTGTGAGTGTGTTATAAGTTTAATTGGTTTAATTATATCAAACAAAATCTATAAGGAATATGGTAAATGCAATTAAAATATAATCAGTTTATGTAGAACAGATACAATCCAGGTTCCTTCCAGCCAAATAAGCTCATAATAATACACTTGACTTATTCAGGACATAAAAGAGTTTCTAAATAATGTGAGTGATTATATTCTCAGTTTGATATACATAAATGTGAAAATAGGAAATAGTGTGCTGATTAAATCATTCAATTCAACTTGCCTTTGTAGCTCAGGGAAATCATTAAAAATGGAGCTGGCTGTTGAATAATGGCATATATTTGGCACTCTTAGGGGACTTAAAATTTTTTTCACATTATTGCATGATTTGGTGAAGCTTATTAACTTATCTGTGCAGCAAGCAATTTTAAATATATTTCTTTCTAAAAGATTAAATTAAGATTTCACCTGCCTATTTATTTACATACTGATGATCATAGAGTCAAACTATATTTTTGATTTTGCCTGAGTTGAATGTGGTTATTTGTTAAACTTTAGATTATATAAATCAATGAAACATTTATCCGAAGTACAAAATATATAATTGGAAAGCACAATTATAGATTCCTTAGCATTTTTCTAAGCATCAGTTGAATGAGTATTAGACATCTATTTTAAAAATAGAGGTCACATTAAGGCAGATATCAGAATAGTTGAGATAAAATTATGTTTTGACCTGGGCTAAATTGCTTTTGCTGATTATGATGGTAATTTTTAAAATTATTTCTCCTAATTGAGTTTTACAAAATAATTTATAAAAGTAACATATGAGTGGAAACAATTAAAAATACAAAGAGAGAGGTGAATAGATTGATTCCTTCTTACTACTAATTCCACCACCATGAGGGGATAGCAGTTTCTTCCATAGCTTTTGCTAAACTTAGTAATTAAAAGGATCCATAGATTCCTGAGGTTCCCTGAGACCATCTCCAAAGTACATAAAGTCAAAACTGTTTGTACAACAATATTGAGATATTAGTTGTTGTGCTGACATTTGCAAATGATGATGCAAAAGCAATGAGTAAAACAGCTGAGGGCTTAGCACAAATCAAGGCAATGTCACCAATCTGAACTAACAGTCATTGTACTCTTCATAGCAATTCAGTGGGGAAAGATGCCAGTTTCACTTAAGAATATCCTCACTGAAGCAATAAAAAGTGTTAACTTTATTAAAATCAACCCTTGGGTACATGTCTTTTTTAATATCCTGTTTGATGAAATGTGAAGTACATAAAGGATTTCTGGTACCTACCAAAGTGGGATGGTTGTCTCCAGGAAAATCACGCGTCATTGTTACATTTGCAAATGACTGCTTCTTTCATTTAACGTCATTTTTACTTGAGAAACTGACAAACTGGTTATTTTGACTTGAGAGTTTGGCAGATATTTTGTCAAAAAAAATAAGGGAAGTGAACCTGTCATATACAGGAAAACAACTGACATTTGTTGCTAATGATAAAATTCAAGCGTTCATGTGAAAAATTCAAATTTTGGAAAAATCATATCCACTATTCTGAGACCAACAACTTCCCATCATTTAAAGACTTTCTTGATAAGGCTGTGGTGATATTAATGAATGTGATCTCTTTGATACTGGATTATGAAATTTGGCAACTTTTAGAAGATCTGCATAACTCGGTAAACCAATAATTTCCAAATTACCATTGCATGATGTTGCAAAATTATCCTCGGGTAAAGTATCCTTTGAAAATGTGAGAGCAATGGGTTTTAATGTAACAGAGCATAATAAAAAACATTGATGTGAGAAGTTGATTTAACAGAAGTTTGAAGAATATATATCATGAAAAGAATTAACAGAGAATTGAGTAAATAGATTTATTTTAAATAAATTATTTTAAAATGTGATGTTCATCATTAAAAAATGACTTCAAGAAAGTAAGATAATGGTATGAGAATGAAAAGTAAACCAGCAGAAATGAGAAAATAATAGAGGCAAGATACATTAAATTATTACAGAAGTAAGAGCTGCTGTAGAAGAAAAATATATAATGAATGTGTCAAGAATACGGTAAAGTGAGAAGTAGTTGATTTGAAATGGAAATGAACATAAATATAATTTTCAATAAGGTGATTGAACATTAAGAAGACAAGTTTACAAGTAATACATAGAAGTATCGTGAATGTAAAAGTAGGGAACTTTTCTGGTATAAAAAGAGAAAAATCTGTACAAATTTGTATAGTCAGTACTGGGGAGGTAATGACACAAAAAAAGTTAGTACCAATATAATCTAGAAAAGTTCTGAACTCCCTTAATCAAGAATTATATGAATCACTGTACAAAAATGTCTCATAAACAAAGAGATTTGAGAAATTTATACCAACAAAATTATACTTAAAAATAAAAGGCAACATTTAAAAATTCAGGGTATACTATACCCATGAGCAATTTTGGAGAAAATAATCTTGAATATGATATTCAGCCAAAGAAAACATGAAATACAAGTTAAGAATTCTTTTTTAAGAAATATCATAAAAGGGACTGATACTGAAAATTGAATGCATTAAAAAACAAAACAAAACAAAACAAGGACTAAACAAAAGCCAGACAGCCTTCAGGATTGGTGATGAGAGGAAAATGCAGTGTGCACATTTCCTCTGCTTACCCCATTTTAGATCAATACATATTGAACAAATTGGATTCATACGGCTACAATAACATGATAATGTTGAGCTTTTAATTTATCACCTTAGCTTCTGAGAGCTCTCTCAGAGGCTAATAATCTCTTTTATTTCAGTAATATGTAAGTTCTTTTAGTCAGTGCCTATTTAGTCTATAATCCACTTTAAATTCAAGTAGAATTACATTTAAAATGTTATTTTAAGAATCATGTATATTATGTGTAATTTTTGTAAAAGTATTTCATCTATCAAGCCTTCAACTGCATGTAAGCTTAGAGCTATATCTGAAATCAAGTTCACCAGATATTGGCAATTTCATTTTCTGAGTGAAATGATTTAGAAAGATATTTCCTTTTCCTTTCTTTTTCTATTTTTAACTTAACTCTTCTATGTTGGCTGAGTTATTTTCATAATTGTTTTATAAAAGTTAATACTCTTTTCAAAAAGAAATTTATTTCCTGGGAAGAAAGCTCTTATAAACTTCTTTATTATTTAGCGTGCCTCTATAGAGAAGAAAAAAATATGTGTCTTTACCCATTTCTAGGTTCATGACCTAGACCCCTATAGCAAAATACAGATTAACAAGAGAAAAGCATAACAAATCTACTTAATAAAAGTTTTATGTCGCAAGGGATCTTTCGGAAATGAAGACCAGGGAAACACCTTATGTCTGTGAACAGTCATGCAGAAGTTTGGTTGACTGCCAGAGAGTAAGATCTGATAGCAACAAACTTGGGGGGTGGACTTAGAGGGCCAGTTTGTTCAGATTCTTCTTGCCATGTCTTCTCTGCGTCTTCATTCCTTTCCTCCATGTATAGAGAACATAAGGGTCTTAGGACCTACCTTCATGGAAGGTAGATCAGATCACTCTTTTATGGCCTGCTTCAGAGGAGAAAGGCCAGAAGGTAACCTCTGTGTTTACATGATGTTGTCTATTTCCTTTTTAAAATACTCAGTATGCCAACATTCCATATGGTGGCATTTCCTGCACCTCATCACCCCACTCATAGCACATTCTTTTATTGAATTGTAGTGAAGTTTCAAGATATCATTTCCCCATTTATAACCTCAGTGAAGAAGGGGACTAAGTAGTCAGCATCATCTGGAAGATTCTTTGTGGGCAGCTTTGCCATTCCAGATTGCTTAATGTTTTAATAATGGCTTTGATAACAACTAACATTTATCAGTATGATATGGTATGACATTATATTTCACTGGATATGACTTACTATATGACAGATGTTGCCCTTAACTTTTCAAATAGAGAAACTCATTTAAACTTCACAGAATCCACATGATGTAGGTACTTCCACCGTTTCCACAATATGGATGAAGACAGGATAATACTAGAAGGCAATGCAGATGGAGTACCAATACAGGTCACATCGTATGGCTGAAAAAATAACAAATCAGGCATTTGAACCAAGACCATTGATGATAGAAGCCAAGATGTAACCACTTTGTTATTCTGCATTATCTTATGAGGTATCTTTCCAGTTGTTTTGGAATTTGTTTTATAATGAACTATCTTGTTCCAGATGTCAGCATCTTTAGGTCAAGATGGATTTACCTCTGGGAACTTACACTTAGATCCAGAGACACAGACTGAGTTTCGCCTCTGTGGACTGGCACATGACAGTGAGCTGCTCTCAAGGCCAGTATTTCTCCAATAGAGCTCCTGTGAATATGACGCGAGCCTCCGGAATCAATTAATATTTAGCCAGTTTGAAATAAGCCACCCCAATGCATGGGAAATATATGTGCTGGCATCTGTGTGATGATCCTTTATATCCTTGAAGATGCCAAATACACCCTTGATTCAGACATTCATCAGCTCTCAAAAAGTATTCATTAATTACCTACTTTTCCTGGAGTGTTTCTAGAATCTAGGAAAAAAGTGCTGAATGACATAGGAATGGCTACTCATGAACTCACATTCTACCTGCATTATTTCTTGTAGACACCACTTTTCTCTCACATTAAACTATGTGATCTTAACAAACAAATGGTGACTAGATTATAAAATCCATCACTGTGGAGCATGGACCTGAAATAGTGGGCATGGAATATGTCTAAACATGTGCAGATATGCATGGAGTATGCATGTCTAACATGTGCAGACATACATGGGAAAACTAGGACAGCTGGTCATCCCAGCAAGCTTTGTACCCCTGTATTAGTCAGCTGCTGTCTATAGGCAGCCACCCCCCCACCCCAAGGATGGGGCTTATCACTTCCTGGGAGAAGCAGATCCCATCAGTTAAGAGTACAGGACAGGGGTTACAGCTGTGAGTCATTAGCAGCCAACACCCACAGCAGCTGGAAGATGGGTGCCTTGGCCCCATGAGTGGAATTTGGGCAGGGTAAATTCCCAAGAGAGAAAGTAATTTCAGCATCATTGTTTTCTTTGTTTCTTAGATGAGAAAGTTGAGATGTAAACAAAAAGATTGTCATTTGCTGGAAAGCACAGCTTTGGCCTTCTATGGTTTTCAACATCAGCCCAATTTTCCTTGGGGAGTCTGTTAAAAAGCAATCTCAGTATTTCCAGTGGTAAATGATGGAGATCTAGACAAGTGTAGAGACTGTCTACAAGTGTAGAGACAAGTGTAGAGACAAGTGTAGAGGGATGAAGAGAAGTGAACTGCTAAGATTTATCTTTTGTTGGGAAAATTAATTGTTTAGGGAAAAAAAAAAATGCAATTCACTGCCAGCACTCATCTAATTTTACATAAACACACTCACTGAGGATGAAGCAAATCTGATTGATTGATTTTTTTTTTTTTTTTAAGACAGAGTCTCATTCTGTTGCCCAGGCTGGAGCACAATGGCATGATCTCACTCACTGCAACCTCTGCCTCCTGGTTTCAAGCTGTTCTCCAGCCTCAGCCTCCCAAGTAGCTGGGACTACAGGCACCCACCACCATGCCCAGATAATTTTGTATTTTTAGTAGAAACAGGGTTTTGCCATGCTTGTCAGGCTGGTCTTGAACTCCTGACCTCAAGTGATCCACCCACCTCAGCTTCCCAAAGTGCTGGGATTGCAGGCGTGAACCACTGCACCTGGCCCTGATTGATTTTCAATGTGAAAATAAAATATAAAAACTATTCTTGGAGTTATTTCTAAACAGAACTAACATCAGAATCATCTGAATCATCAGAATTGTCTATTTCAGAAAAATTAAATTCATCAAATGAATCTTTGGCCAACAACTAAGAACCATGTTAACATCTTGCATAGGAATGCTACGTTTTCTAGGATTTGTCATTTTCGGCAATCAAGAATGACTATGTTTTGTAAATGGAAGTACTACTACTAAAACCAGAATGGTTTAAATAGAATGATGTCTTTTGTTTCCAAAGTCAATACACTAAAGCAATACGAAAATAATAATAAAAGCGAGATATGTCATGGCAAAGTTATCTTGGGGTAAACGTGGCAGCCACAAGGACTGCCAGCCGTAAGCATTGCCAGCAAACAGGAAAAGGGTTAACATTACCATTGATTGCTGTAGATGCTACATCGGTGCCCTGCCTGAATTTCACTCACAGGGCCAAGACCCATCTTCCAGCTGCTGTTGGGGTTGGCTGCTAATGACTCACAGCTGTAAACCCTATCCTGCGAATTGCCCTTAAATGATGGGATCTGCTTCTCCCAGGAAGTGATATGCCCCATCCTTGGATAGATGGTTGCCCATAGTCAATAGCTGAGTGATACAGGGGTGCAAATGTGTGCTGGGGTGACCAACTATCCCAGCTTTCCCAGGACTAGAAAGTTTTCCACAACATGGAAATTTCAGGGTTAGTACCCAGAAAGGCCTGGGAAAACCGGGATGGTTGACCACTCTACCTTTGGCTGCACAGAGTACAACTCTGCACTGAGATTTATATTCGTAGCTCACCCCTAAATCAGTCCAATGATAAGCTTGACCTGAGAGCACAACCTTACTCAGCTCTTTCCCTCTTTCCTATCCTGCTTCACCCCCACCCTTAAAGATTCCTTCAGTAAAGCATGTGCACTTGAATGCCCTGTCTCTGGTTCTGTTTCTAGGTAACTCAACCTAAGACATTGAATAATTAGATATGGAGGGAGAAGAAAAAGGAAACATACTGATGAACTTGTTTTTCTGTCCTGGCAAACTGGATTATGGGAGCACCTTTGAACAGGATGGAGGGGAGCCATGTTTGGAGGTACCGTTGACTCATTAAAGAAGAATAAAACTGTGAGAATGCTATTGGGCAGTTCACAGAGTCCCTAGGAGGACTGGAAAATCAGGTTTATGGCCATCCAGCCAGACATAACGCCCAGACACAACAAAGGGTTGGTCTGATGAGGACATATTGCCAATATTGGCAAGCAGCTTTTACCACTCATATATTTAGATGTTCATGGATGCTGCACGTAGCACCATCAACATTACCTTCCAAGACAAATAATATTGATTCATCATCCACTCCTTTTAGGGAAAGTTGGTCAGAGTTATACCAACTCTGTCTTTAAAGTTTGAGGTAAGTTCATCCACTTGACAGACCCTAAGCTATGTAGTCATACCTTAGTTGCAAGGGAAGCTGAAAGAACAGAGTCACAATAAAGAAGCTGAAAGAACAGGGTCACAATAAAGAAGGTGGGAAATTCTTCAAACAGGAAAGTGATTATAGCAACACAATAAGATAGCAAATAGCAGTTACAAAAGAGGAGGTACAGTTTGGGCTGAGAATAAATAAAAAATACCACCACGGTCGTGGAGTAGTAAGGTGAAGTAGAAAATAGGTGTTCTATTTGGATCGTGTCGATGAAGGGTTAGGAATGGATGGTCTCCAGAGAAGGCTGATTCCTCCCATTCTTGTACATGCCTGCTACTTCCATCAATGAAGTCCACTTCCTGTCTTAGACTAACCTGTTGAGTAGTTTTGATCAATGTAAAGTGGTAAAAGTAATCCTGTGCCAGTTTCAGGATTAGTCCATAAGAGTCCTGGAAACATATTTGTTTTTTTGGAAACCAGCCACCATGGTGTGAAGCTGAGGCTAGACAACTGAAAAGTGAGACCACTTGGAAAGAGAAAAGCAACATGGAAGAGAACCAGGGTTCCCCAGCCAACAGTCCATGCCACAACCCAGACACCTAGGGAGGTTCTCTTTAATGCTCCAGCCCAAAACAAGCTTCCAGCCACGAGAGCGGTCTCAAACAACCAGTATACTGATAGATTCACCCACAGAATCATGAGAAATAATAAAATATTATTGTTTTAAGCCACTAAGCTTTGAGACAGTTTATTTTATGCTGATAGATAACTGAAACAAAAATTGCTACCAGAAATGGGGTATTTCCATAACAAAATTTTAAGACAAGTGACATTGGGCTTGGGACAGGGCACAAGATAGGTCAGATAGTTTGCATCTTCCAACTTTATACTTGTTTATTTGCGTTTTCAAAGTTGTTTTTGTTATTCTAGTTTCTTGGTATTTCTACAAAAACTTTAGAATCTGCTTGTGCATTTCTACAAAATTTTCTGTGGATATTTGATTGAAAGTGCATAGCATCTACATTTCAAATTGGAAAAAAAAATGGCATCCTAACAATATTGTCTCCTGGCATAAGGAGAACAAAAACACAAACACACACACATACACACACCGTCCTTTTAGTGTGTTTTGTAATTTCTTCCAATAATATTTTATAGTTTCCAGTGTATACGCTCTTTTAAAACTTTTGTCAGATTATTCCTAAAGTAGTTCATACTTTTTCAAGGTATTATAAATGGCATTTTAAACATTTTACCAAGCTTTTATTGCTAGTATAAAGAAATATAGTTTCAGTATATTAATCTTGTTTCTTACAAGTTTGCTAAAATCTCTTATTAGTTCTACATTTTTATAGGTTTTTTCAGTTTTTCTAGATGTCACATAAATAAAATTGTACATAAATAAATAGGATTTTACTTCTTTTTCTCATTTCTGGTAACACTGGATAGAATTGGTCACACTATTTTTCTCTTTTTGTTATTGTTTTTTGTTTTCGTTTTTTAAAATTTTTCTTGCATGGTCACGTTGGATAGAACTGCCAGTCTCGGTTGGCTAGAAAAGGCAAGAACAGACATTTTTATCTTGTTCCTGTCTTAAGGGGTATAATACTTTGCTAGGACCACCATAACAAAATACCACAAACTGGGTAGCATAAACAACAGAAACTTATTTCTCACAGTTCTGGAGGCCAAAATCCAAGACAGAGGTTTGGTTTCCCCTGAGGCCTCTTGCCTCAGCATGCAGACAGTCACCTTCTCATTGTGTTCTCAGATGGCCTTTTGTCTGCACGCATCCCTTGTGTCTCTTCTATGTCCTAATCTCCTCGTCTTATAAGGACACCAGTCCAGCTGGATTAGGGCACATCTTAACAGCCTCTTTTTAACTTGATTACCTCTTTAAAAGCCCTACATCAAAATACAGCCACATTTTGAGCTACTGGGGGTTAGAGCTGGAGAACACAATGCAGTCCATAACAGAAGAAAAACTTTAGCTCTTCTACTATTAAATAGGATGCTATAGATGCCTTCTTTTTTTTTTTTTTTTTTTTTTTTGAGACGGAGTCTCGCTCTGTCGCCCAGGCCGGACTGCGGACTGCAGTGGCGCAATCTCGGCTCACTGCAAGCTCCGCTTCCCGGGTTCACGCCATTCTCCTGCCTCAGCCTCCCGAGTAGCTGGGACTACAGGCGCCCGCCACCGCGCCCGGCTAATTTTTTGTATTTTTAGTAGAGACGGGGTTTCACCTTGTTAGCCAGGATGGTCTCGATCTCCTGACCTCATGATCCACCCGCCTCGGCCTCCCAAAGTGCTGGGATTACAGGCGTGAGCCACCGCGCCCGGCCACCTTCTTTCCATTCTAGTAAATTCTCTTTTATTTTTAATCTATGAGAATTTTTATCAGCAATGGATGTTTGATTTGGAAAAATGTGTTTTCTCTATCTATTGTGGTAATGATGATTTTTCTGTTTTAGTTTGTTAATATGGTGATAATGGCAGGATTTGAATATGTTCCCCAAGATTCCCCCTGCCTCCTCAGGATATAGGCCCTGCATAATCTGTAGAACTGGGACTACAGTGAATATGATGGATTTTACTGCCCTGATTAGGACATTTTACATGGCACATTTGGCTTTAAGAAAGAGAGGGCCGGGCACGGTGGCTCATGCCTGTAATCCCAGCACTTTGGGAGGCCAAGGCGGGCCGATCAAGAGGTCAGGCGATCAAGACCATCCTGGCCAACATGGTGAAACTCCGTCTCTACTAAAAATACAAAAATTAGCTGGGCATGGTGGTGCATGACTGTAATCCCAGCTACTCGGGAGGCTGAGGCAGGAGAATCTCTTGAACCCGGGAAGGGGAGTTTGCAGTGAGATGAGATCACGCCACTGCATTCCAGCCTGGTGACAGAGCGAGACTCCATCTCAAAAAAAATAAAAGAGAGATTATCACATGAGCTCATTAAAAGCAGAGAGTTTCTTCCAACTAATTGCAGAAGAGCAAATCAGAGATTTGAAGCATGAGAAGGATTTGATGCACTGTTGCTGGCTTGAAGATAGAAGGAGCCACATATTAAGGAATATGAATCACCTCTAGAAGCTGATGGCAGCCCTCCAGCTGATAGCCAGAGTAAAATGGGGACCGCCGACCTACAACCACAGGTGCACTGAATTCTGCTAATGAAAATGAACATGAAAGCAGATTTTTCCCCAGGCCCTCCAGAAAAACACTCAAACCACCAAACATCTTTATTTCATCCTTGTAATATGCTGACCAAAGGACTCAGCTACATCACACTGAACTTCTGACCTACAGAATATATATTAATAAATGGATGTTGCTTTAAATGGCTAAATGTGTGGTAATTCGTTATGAAACATTAGAAAACTGATATATATGGTGAAATTAAGTTGGTTGATTTTGGAATGGTAAGTCAACCTTGCATTCTAGAATGAATCCCACTTGGTGATAATATGTCATTCTTTCTAAATATTGTATGATTCAATTTGCTAAAATGCTGTTCAAATGTTTACATCCTATGTTCATGAGAAAGATGGATCTGTATTTTTCTTCTTTTGTAATATTTTTATCCAGTTTTCATATTAGGACAATGCAGGTTGCACAGAATAAGTTGGAAATATTCCTTCCTCATCAATTTTCTGGAAAAATTTATGCAGATTTAGTATTATTTCTTCTTTAAATATTTGATTGAATTTACCCATGAAGCCATCTGTGCCTGTAAGTTTCCTTGTGAAAATGGTTTTAACTACAAATTTAATTTCTTCAATATATATAGCTATCTGAACAATTTATTTCTTAAGGGGTGAAATTGGGTAATGTATGTACTTTAAGGAATTTATTACATCCAAATTTTCAAATATATTGAAATAAATGTGTTTATGATATTTTATTATCCATTTGGTATTTTTAGAATCTCTCTTATTCCCAGTATTGGCAATTTGTGTCTTTTTTTTTTTTCTCATGACCACTCTGGCTAGAGGTTTATCAGTTGTATTGATTTTCTCAAAGAACCACCTTTAGGTTTCATTGATTTTCTCTATTGTTTTTCTGTTAGGTATTTCATTTATCATTGCTGTTATCTTTATTATTTCCTTTCCTCTGCTTATGTTGTATTTAATCTGCCCTTTTTTTCAGTTTGTGAAGGTGGAAGCTGAAGTTATCGATCTGACACTGCTTTTTTTCTAGTATAAGTATCTCATGCTATAACTTTTAGCATAAACCCAGCTTTACAGGAATGCCACAAATTTTTATATACCATGTTTATATTTTCATTCAACATAAACTACTTTTCAATTTCCTTTTTGATTTCTTCTTAGATCATAAGTCATTTAAAAGTGTATTTTTTTAGTTTCCAAATATTTGATCATTTTCCAGAGATTCCTCTGTGATTTATTGCTAATTTAATTCCATTGTGGTCAGAGAAAATAACCTGTATCACTTGAATTCTTTTAAATTTATTGTAATCTGATTTATGGCCAAGAGTATTATCTATCTTGTTGAACAAGCCCTTGAAAAAAAATGTGTATTCTACTGTTTTTGAGTTGTTTATAAATATTAATTATCAACTCTTAGGTCGATAGTATTGTTCAGTTCTTCTGTATTCTTTCTGATGTTCTGTCTACATGTTCTATCAGTTATTGAGAGATATATTGAAGCCCCTAAAAAGAATCATAAATTTGAATATTTCCCTTACAGTTTTACCATATTTTTCTTCATGTATTTTGAAGATGCAAAAGTACAAGATTCAATAGAGGCTAACAAGTTTTGGATTATTATATATTCTTAATGAACTGATCTTGCATCATTTTGAAATACTTCTTTATCATTGGTAACTTTTTGTTATTAAATCTTTCTCAGGTGTTAATGTCATCTCTCAAGCTTTATTTTTTTTTTTTTTTTTTTTTTTTGAGACGGAGTTTCGCTCTGTCGCCCAGGCTGGAGTGCAGTGGCGCGATCTCGACTCACTGCAAGCTCCGCCTCCCGGGTTCACGCCATTCTCCTGCCTCAGCCTCCCGTGTAGCTGGGACTACAGGCACGCGCCACCATGCCCGGCTAATTTTTGTATTTTTAGTAGAGACGGGGTTTCACCGTGTTAGCCAGGATGGTCTCGATCTCCTGACCTCGTGATCTGCCCGTCTCGGCCTCCCAAAGTGCTGGGATTACAGGCGTGAGCCACCGCGCCCGGCCTCAAGCTTTATTTTGTTTAGTGATAGTGTTACCATGATATATATTTTTTTCATCTTTTATGTGTAACTTATTTGTGGCTCAAATTTTGAAATTTTACCGCTAGTCTTTAAATAATTTTTCTGTCTCCGTTTCCTTTGAAGAGTCAAATTTCACCTACATATTTTCTTCAAAATTGTCCTACAGCTCACTGATGCTTTGTATACATTTTGAAAATTATTTTTCGTCTAATCTCCAGTTAATCTTATTGAGTGTATTTTTCACCTTACACATAGTAGTTTTTATTTCTGGAGCTTCAATTTTGATCTTTGTCATATATACTATGTCTCTACCTTTTTGAACATATGAAATATAACTCCAAGAATTGTTTTCTTCTTTTGGATCTTGCCTTTAAGATTTGTTTAGTAAGATCAGAGCGAAGTTTAGTCTAGGGCTAGCCACATCCCTCTTCTAACACAAGACCTTAGTACTTTACTCAAGCCATGTAAATGATGAATTTTCCATGGCAGGTGGAAAAAGGCACTATTCCCAGCCTTGTGTGAGCACCAATTACTATTCTCTCTAATCCTTTTACAGATTTTTACTGGGCCTTGAGCAGTTTTATCCCACACGTATGCTGATTCCTTCTCTGTACAACACTTTTCTTTCCTGTATTCTTGTTCTGAAAACTCTAGCCTTCTAGGTCTTTCTGGATCTTGGTTCCCTCTCCTTGATGTAGGAAGTTTACTGGGCTCTGCCTGGGCTCTGACTGGGCTCCCCTCTCTGCATCAAGCCATAGAAACTTTCTGTAATCTGGGGCAAGTATAGAGCTTTCTCTAGTGAACTTTAAATAATGTCATTAGCTCCATAGACTGCCAAGTCCACATCTAAATGGAAGAGAGAATTTCAGAAAAAGTTTCAAGTCAATTTCCTCCACTCTTTCCACAGTAATCCCATTCCAAGTTCATAACAACTCACATGAAAAATGTAAGGAGACAGCAGTAGGTGAACAAGTAGATTTCAGTTGAGATACTTTTAACAAGAAAGATTTGAGCCCTAGTTCTTTGTCTGAATTCCTTATCACGCCATTTTAATACCAAGTGTCTCATAGAGAACTCTGCATTCTCCATATCAAACCTTTAAAATCCTAAATTTATGCAGCAGATGGGAAAACAGGAATTCTTCATCAATTCCACCTGCGTCTTGTTTACAGAGAAGCCATACTTATGACTAAGGGACCATTTCTTAGGGATTTAACAGAGATGTTCTAAGTGAATTTCCAGGAAATATAAGTAAAGTAAAAACAGCACAGAGCAGATGTCTGGCCATTCAAAGCCATTCTGCCTTAATTGTCAACAGAGAGAGAGAGAAAGGCTGTCTGTGTTTTTAGATTTTCTATAATGACTATCAAGTATCACTGTTCTTCAAATAATGCCTAAGAGAAATACATAGAAACAATCAATATTTATTCTGCAATTGTTGCTTAACTGAGTAAATATCTTTGACTGGGAGCAGTTCAAGTCATATTTGTATTATAAAAACCATGATATTGCCCAGTTTTCTAGATACAATTTGTATAGAGTAAGAAAAAAAATGTTGCCTTTAACTAAATGTGTAGAAAAAACTAAACTTTCCCTAGTTGCAAGGATTATAAAATCATGGGAGACATTATCAAGGTTGGTGGTGCAATTGTTTTTCCTAGAGAGCACTTTGAAAATAGACTAGTCACCCAAGTACTCTGAACAATTAAGGTGCAGGTGCAGCCACACCTGCAGAGAAGAGTGAATACAGGGATCCTAAAGAGAGTGGCCTTAAAGGGGCAGCAGTAGGTCTTTGATGTTGAATTGAACTTTCCTACCATTGGTGTGCTTTATACAAAAAAGAAAACCCATTTGAATAATTCAAGAGGAACCAATATGTCTACAGCTAATCAACAAAGGAAGAGCTGAATGACTAAGCCAACTTTTGGTTACAAACAAGAGAGAAAATAAGGCACAGCCAGTCTATTGGAAAGTATAATCTACAGTAGAAAGACCGCTTGCTGAACCAAAAAAGACCCTGATAATTGCTTATACAAGTGTATTTTCAACAAGGGTCCTTAAGTAAAGCAAAGGAACAACTTGCAGGTGACAATGTATTAAAGGATGACTCAACACTGTCCTTTAAAATGTAGCAGCAGTAGTTTACTACATTTCAACTCCACAGGTAGCCTGGTACAACTTGAATGTCCAATGAAACTGTGCATTTTCACTGTGGAAAAAAACATTTATAATGCAAAGGAGACTTCTCTGGTGACCCAGAGGAGCTGCCAGTGTTCCTTGGATTAGGGCAATTAACCAAAATAGCATTGCTAAATTTGCTACAGATTTTAAGTAATTTAGAAAGTAGAATACAAACTTTGGCTTAATGGAGTTAGGGAGGAGACTGTGTATATGAACAAGTTCAATTGTATCACTTACCATCTACGAAAAGCATTATCAGTGAGGGAAGTATAAAATAATTGAGGGGCAAGCTTATGAGGCTCTGGTATAAGCTATGTTGGGTTTCAGGCTGGTGGGCTTTCCCAGAGACTAATGTTTCATGCTGAAGTGCTCCAGGCGGTTTGGAACGAAAGGGGTATTTTAGAAATAAAACAAAATTATCACAGTATGAGATGCTTAACTGAGACAAAATTAATCCTTTTCTATCAAATGTTTCCAACTTGAACTCAACAACTGGTTTGAAATTTTAAATTTTAAAAGTTGTTTTTCATTGTCAGTACAATCATAAAATTGGAATATTGGAACAAGAAAAAACACAGACACCATGTATTTCAAGACTTCATTTTATGGATGGAGAAACCAAAGCACTGAAGGTTTAATAAGCTATCACAAGAAGACACAACTGTTAGGTGCTGAATACACTTTAAAGCTGGTGCTGGCTGCTGAGCCACAACCACCCACCTGATAAGGTTAAGGGGAGAGGTGCAGTGGTGTGTGAGTACATTACAGTAGAGGTACTTCTATCAGGAGAATTTGGAGGTCTAGATCTGTGTGCAAACACAATCTCTAGTTGGCCCATTAGGGAACTCTTGGTTCTACATGCCAAACCTTTAGTGTCCTAAGGGACTTGCCTGAAATAATAGAAAGTCCCCACATTCTGTGTTCTGGTAATATTCTAGGACAGAGTTTGGCAAACTTTTTCTGAAAGGGCCTGATAGGAAGGATGTTAGGTACTATGGGCCACATCATCTCATTGATAATTACCCAACCACCATTGCAACAGGTAAGGAGCCACAAACAAAACCTAAACAGATGAGCATGGCTGTGCTT
Source organism: Homo sapiens (assembly GCF_000001405.40). Lineage (NCBI taxonomy): Eukaryota > Metazoa > Chordata > Mammalia > Primates > Hominidae > Homo > Homo sapiens. Next base: position 164,360,237 of record NC_000006.12, on the reverse strand, counting down.
CCACAGAATTTTGTGGATGGACTGTGAAATTTGAATTTTATATCATTTTCATGTGTGATACATTATTCAGCATTTAATTTTTCTTGAACCATTAAAAAATGCAAAAATCACGCTTAGATTGTGGGTTACACAAAGATAGATAGAAGTCAGAATTTGGGCCAAAGGCTGTAGTTTGCTGATCCCTACTCCAGGAGTTAGTGACAGGCACGTTGAAAAAAAACAAGAAGGATCATGATTCAAAATCAGATTAGAAAAGAGTCTAAAAAGAACACTCTCAGGCACTGGACATGGCCTTGAGTGTCTTCCAGGAAGCTAGGGTCTGGAGGAGAGATGAAGCAAAAGTAGTCCCATATTCCCTTGGAAGGATTTTTATGTTCTACAAGTAGAGTGGCAAATACTAAGCAGAACACTCACTGTGGCTCTTTCCCAGGAACAGACCCTAGAAGGGCAATACTGGAAGCATCCAAACAACTGTTTCTGATACAGAACAGCTGAGAACAGATACAGAACAGCTAAACCCCACCCTTCAGCCTGGAACCATAGCCCTAAGTGAAAAGAACTTACCTCATTTTTCCATCCAAATGTGGCCTTTTTGGCCTGCCATGCCCCTATCCTGTGCCCATAAAAAGACTTCAGCTGGCAAAATAACACAAGCAGCTGAGCACTGGGAATACAAGCATCTGAGTGTCAGGAATACAAGCAGCTGAGTGGTGGAAATAGAAGCGGCTGAGCATCAGAGACAATGGATAGATGCAACCAACTCCAGATGGTGCAGCTTTGGGGAAAGATCGCCTTCTTCCCACACCATCCCCTTACCAACTCCCATCTCACTGAGAGCCACTTCCACCGCCCAATAAAATCCTCTGCATACACTACTCTTCAATCCATTCATGTGACCTGATTCTTCCTGGATGCTAGACAAGAACCCAGGTGCTGAGAGGGCAGGGGCTTGGACACTGCTGCAGGGCCCACAAAGAGCCTGCTTCCACCAGAGAGGAGTGACCAGCTGGTTCCAGCATTCATTTGCTCTGGTTCCCACACTTGCTTACTCACATGCTCCCTCTTGCAAGGAGAGGCTGGCAGTGGGCTGAGTGAAATGAGCCACTCCAGTTCCTGCCCACAAAGGGGGTTAAGGTCAAGGAAACAATCCCGTCTCATCTTCAAAAGACTTGTGGCATTACCAAGTGGGAACCAGAAGCAGGGAAATAACTGGTTGATTAGGTTTTCTTGCCTTTCCATATCAAGATGGAGAAGGAGTGCAAGGTGAAATTTACAACTACACTGATGGGAATAGAGACTGAATGAAGAAGGAAACAATTTTGAATTGGCAAAACATCCAGTTCTGGGAGGCAGAGGGATGTCCACATTGATTTTCAGGCTAGGAGCTTGGAGAGATGTTAGAAGAACATTCACAGTGGAATTGATACAATCTTGCAATTATACCTCGGGAGATAAAATACATTTATATGCAATTAAAAAGAAGAGATTAACTAGTGCAAGCTCTTAATATTTAAGAGTTCTGACTCCTTTTGAGTTAGAAATTTTATGATTCACCATATGAGAGATTGTGGGGAGTGAACGGGGAGGCAGGTGTTACAAAATGCTAAATTAAATGTTCTCAATTCAATTTCCTTCCTAACTCGAAAATTTCTGAAGTGCTACACAATCTAATAGGACTTTTAACCATCTTTGGTTTTGTCAGAAAATGCTCTTCTTTTCTCCTTTTTAACTAGATGACAGGGACCAATTAAATTAATGAGGCTCACAAAAGTATTTCCCTTGGCAAATGGCAGGCTGTATTAATGTTTGCACAGTGCAGTTTTTGAGCTGTAACCCTCAATGTTAAATGCCTGTGTTGCACAAGATACCTCCATATGCTATTGGCTTCTGCCAAATTATATATAATAAGAATCAGGTTTATTTTTTATTGGTATAAATAATTTAGACATATATGGAGAATATAGATTATCAACAATATGAGAAACATGAGTAGCTTCTTCATGTAACTTACATTATTTAGGCAAATTGGTTATTTAATAGTGACAAATAAAATTTCTCAAATTATCATAGAAATCTAAAAGATGGTTAAGCAAGTCTGTTAACATTGTTCTAATACTTCCATACTTTGTGATCTAATTAAATGTTTATTATAATTATCTCTAATATTGTATTTAAGCATATGATAGAGTGTATATATATATATATATATATATATATATATTTCAGTGAAATAGAAAAGACTCAAAGATGTGAAAGAAGCCTTCATTGTTTTTCTGGAGAAGCCTTCATTGTTTTGCTGGAGAAAAAGGATAATAAATATATGCCCCATTTTCCCCATTTTGTAATCTCTTCAAAATAGTACAATATTCTTGCCATATATAAGCACAACATATGAACAATATATTTTTAAAGGACTGGTCAAAAGGTTGTAGTCCTTTTTAGCTAAGAATCTGGATGGCAAGGCAACTCAATGAAATGCAGGAAAATATTGAAACCCAATCCAAGGGAAACAGTAAAACAATTCCAGAGTTGGAAGATGACACAACAGTTTTAAGAAAGAACAAAACTGACATTCTAGAATTGAAAATTTACTCCAGGAATTTCATAATACAATTGGAAGCATTAACAACAAAATAGACCAACCTGAGGAAAGAATCTCAGAACTTAAAGACCACTTCTTCAAGTAAACACAGGTAGACAAAAATAAAAAATAATTTTAAGAAGGAACAAAACCTGCAAAAATATGACATTATGTAAAGAGACAAAACCTACAAGTCATTAGCATTCATGGAAGAAAAAGTGAGTGAACAGCTTGGAAAACACATTTGAGAGCTTAGTCTGAAAATTTCCCCAATCTTGCTAGAGAGGTCAACATGCAAATTAAAGAAATTCATAGAACCCCTGCAAGATACTATTAAAGATGACTATTCCCAAGACACATAATAATTAGATTCTTCAAGGTCAATATGAAAGAAAAAATCTGAGGGCAGCTACAGGGAAGGGGCAGGTAACTTAAAAAGGGAACCCCAGCAGGCTAATAGCAGACCTTTAAGCAGAAACCTTAGAAGCCAGAAGAGATTGAGAGGCCTATTTTCAGTATCATTAAACAAAAAAAAATTTCAACCAAGTTTTTTTTTTATCTTGCCAAAGTGAGCTTCGTAAGTAAAGGAGAAAGAAAATCCTTCTTAGAGCAGCAAACACTAAAGGAATTTGTTATCACTAGACCTGACTTACAAAAGGTCTATAGGCTGTGCTAAACATGGAAATAAAAGAACAGTACCTGTCAATGCAAAAACACATTTAAGTACACAGCCATTGACACTAGAAAGCAACTGTACAATCAAGTCTACACAACAATCAGTTAACAATATGACAGGATCAAGTCCTTGCAAATTAATATTGACCTTGAATGCAAATGAGCTAAACACCCCACTTAAAAGGCATAGAGAGGCAAGTTATATTAAAAAAAAAAAGTAACACTCAACTGTCTACTGTCTTCAAGAGACACATCTCACGCATTAACAACAACCACAGGCTCAAAATAAAGGAATGGAGAATGATCTATCAGGCAAACGGAAAAAGAGAGCAGGCTTGCTATTTATATCAGATAAAACAGACTTTAAACCAACAATAATCAAAGAGGTCATTACAAAATGATACAGTGTTCAATTCAACAAAAGACTTAACTACCCCAAATATATTTTCACCCAACAAGTTCTTACAGACCTATTAAGAGACTTAGATAACCATATGATAATAACGACTTCAACACCCAACTGACAGCAGTAGACAGATCATTGAGACAGAAAAAGACATTCAGGACCTAAATCCAACACTTAAACAATTGGACCTAATTGACAGTCAAGGAAACTCCACTCAACAACAATGGAATATGCAGTGTTCTCATCTACACACAACATATACTCTAAGACTGACCACACTCTAAGATTGAACATAAAGCCAGTCTCAACAAATTCAAAAAAATAACATTATACCAACCACACTCTTGGACTACAGTGCAATCAACACCAAAAAGATCTCTCAAAACCATACAGTTACATTGACATTGAACAGCCTGCCTCTGAATGATTTTTGGGTAAAGAAAACAATTAAGGCAGAAGTCAAAAAATCCTTTGAAACTAATGAAAACAAAGACACCAATGTACCAGAATTTTGGGGGCACAGTGAAAGCAGTGTTAAGAGACAGTTTATAGTGTGAAATGCTTACACCAAGAAGTCATAAAAATCTCAAATTAACAACCTAACATTGCACTTAGAGGAAGTAGAAATACAAGAGAGAACCAACCCCAAGGATAGCAGAAGAAAATAAATATCCAAAATCAGAGTTGAACGGAAGAAAAAAATTCATGCAAAAGACCAACAAAATCAAAATTTGTTTTTTCAAAAGAATAAACATCACTGATAGACTGCTATCCAGATTAATAATGAAAAAAGAGAGAAGATCCAAAGAAGCAAAATCAGAAATGACAAAGGTGGCATTATAACCAACCCCATAGATATCCAAAAATTTCTCAGAGACTATCGCAAACATTTCTAGGCACACAAACTAGAAAACCGAGAAAAAATTGATAAATTCCTGGAAATACACCATATTCTAATATTAAGTCAGAAAGAAACGAAAATTCTGAACAGATGACTAACAAGTTCCAATGTTGAATCAGTAATAAAACCTTTCCAATCAAAAAATGCCCTGGGCTAGACAGATTTACAGCCAAATTCTACCAGACATACAAAGAAGAGCTAATACCAATCCTACTGAAATTATTCCAAAAAACTGAGGAGTAGGGATTCCTCCCTAACTCTTTCTATGAAGCCAATGTCACTCTGATACTCAAACCTGGCAGAGAAGCAACTAGAAAAGAAAATAGCAGACCAATGTCCCTGATGAACATAGATGCAAAAATCCTCACAAACCAAATCCAGCAACACATCAAAAATATAATTCACCATGATCAAGTAAATGTTATTTCTGGGATACAAGGTTGGCTCAACAGATGCAAATCAGTAAATACGTTTTATTACATAAACAGAATTAAAAACAACAACCACATGATCATCTTAATAGATGCAGAAAAGGCTTTCTAATAAAATTCAACATTGCTTCATGTTAACAACCCTCAATGAACGAGGCATAAGAAAAAACATACCTCAAAATAATAAGAGCCATCTAGGACAAACCCATAGCCCACATCAATGCTGAATGGGCAAGAGCTAGAAGCATTCCCTTTGAGAACTGGAACAAGACAAAGATGCCCACTCTCACCATTCCTATTAAATATGTTTAATAGGAATATTTAATATTCCTATTTAATATTCTAGTATTTAAATACTAGAAGTCCTAGGCAGAGCAATCAGGCTCTGCCTAGGACAATTACAGGCTGGGCTCAGTGGCTCACACCTGTAATCCCAGTACTTTGGGACGCCAAGACAGGTGGATCACTTGAGGTCAGGAGTTCGAGGCCAGCCTGGCCAACATGACGAAACCCCATCTCTATTAAAAACACAAAAATTAGCTGGACATGGTGGCAAGCACCTCTAGTCCCAGCTACTTGGGAGGCTGAGGCAGGAGAATTGCTTGAACCCAGAAGGCAGAGGTTGCAGTGAGCCGAAATCACACCACTGCACACCAGCCTGGGCGACAGTGATCCACCTGCCTTGGTGTCCCAAAGTACTGGGATTACAGGTGTGAGCCACTGAGCTCAGCCTGTAATTTTTATTGTAAAGTCTTTTCACCTCCTTTGTTAGCTGTATTTCTAGGTATTTTTTTGTGATTATTTTAAATAGGATTGCATTCTTGATTTTTCTGTCTCAAAAAAAAAGCATGAAACACTGCTGAAAGAAATCAGAGATAACACAAACAAATGGAAAATTATTCTATGCTCATGGATAGGAGGAATCAATATGGTTAAAATGGCCATACTGCCCAAAGCAATGTACAGATTCAGCGCATTCCTATCAAATTAGTAAAATGTTATTCACAGAATTAGAAAAAAAAGATTCTAAAGTCCACATGGAACAAAAAATAGCCTGAATCACCAAAGTAATCCCAAGCAAAAAGAATAAAGCCAGAGGCATTACCCTACCTGATTTCAAGCTACACTACGAGGCTACAGTACCCATAACAGCATGGTACTGTACAAAAACAGACATAGACCAATGGAACAGGATAGAGAATTCAGATATAAAGCCACATACCTACAACCATCTGATCTTCAACAAAGTTGACAATAACCAGCAATGGAGAAAGGACTCCCTATTCAATAAATGGTGCTGAGATAACTGGCTAGCCATATGCAAAGGATTGAAACTGAACCCCTTTCTTATACCATATACAAAAATTCGGCCAAGATAGACTAAAAATTTGAATGTAAAACCTGAAACTATAAAAATCCTTGAAGAAAACCTAGGAAATACCATTCTGGACATCAGCGTTGGCAAGAAATTTATGACCAAATCCCCAACAGCAATTGCAACAAAACAAAAAATTGACAAGTGGGACCAAAGTAACTAAAGAGCTTCTGCACAGCAAAATAAACTATCGAAAGATGAAACAAACAACCTACAGAATGGGAGAAACTGTTCACAACCATGCATCCAACAAAGGTTTAATAATCTATAAGCAACTTAAACAATTCAACAAACAAAAACAAATTAAAAATGGGTAAAGAACCTGAATACACACTTCTCAAAAAAAGATATACATGTGGCCAACAAATATATTTTTTAAATGCTCAACATCACTAATGATTAGAGAAATGCAAATGAAAACCACAATTACATACCATCTCACACCCGACAGAATGGCTATTATTAAAAAGTCAAAAATAAGTACTGATGAAAATGTAAATTACTTCAGGCACTGTGGAAAGCAGTGTGGAGAGTTCTTGAAGAACTTCAAACAGAACTACCATTAGACCCAGCAATCCTATTATTGGGTATATACTCATAGAAAAAAAACGACTCATTCTGCTAAAAAAGACACATGCACTCGTGTTTATCACAGCACTATTCACAATAACAAAAACATGGAATCAACCTAAATGTTCATCAACAGTGGACTGAATAAAGAAAACGTGATACATATACACCATGAAATACTACACAGCCATAAAAAGGAAAGAAGTCATGTCTTTTGCAGCAACATGGATGGAGCTGGAGGCTATTATCCTAAGTGAATTAACTCAGGAAAATCAATCCAAATACCTGTTCTTACTTACAAGCAGAAGCTAAACTTTAGGTAAACATGACCATACAACTGGCAACAATAAGACACTAGGGACTACTAGAGGGATGAAGGCGGGATAGGGGTGTAGGCTGAAAAACTACCTATCAGGTATTATGGGTATTATGCTCACTACTGGATGATGGGATCATCTGTACACCAAACCTCAGCAACATGAAATTTACCCATGTAACAAACCTGCAAGTGACCCTCTGAACCTAAAATAAAAGTAAAAAAACAAACCAAACAAAAAAAACCCTTGGTAATGATAGTGAGCAACAACAAAAACAAAGAAAAGCTAAGATTTGTGCATAAATAATACCAAAGGCTCCTGATATTAGCCTCTATTCATGGTCTCTCCAAAATAGTAACTGATATAAATATTCCTTTGCTCAGAATTTTAAAAATTACACTGTTGATTTTAGGAGTCTACAATTGTTTTTCCTTCATATATACCTCATTTAAAATTTACTGAGCACCTATTCTTCATACAATTATAGTAATTGAATGCAACAACAACGACAAAAAGACACTCATGAAAGAGTGATAAGACACTCTTAATACTTCATACCACAGAAGAAGTTATCTCTTGTGAGAAGATATCTGCAATACATTTATTCATGAAAGAACATGCACCCAGAATATATATATGAATCCTACCATTAATTTAAAAAGAGGATAACAAATTAATAATAATAAATGTGAATAATATTAAACAGACACTTCATTAAAAAGAATATTAAATGACCAATAAGTTATTGACCTTATTTGTCATGACAGTAATGAAAGTTAAAACTGTGTAAGAATTAAATGAAAAAAACCCAGGATTGTTAAATAGAAAAAAGACAAAAACATCAAACATTCTCTAGGATGTGGAGCAACTGGAACCCTCATGCTCTGATAGAGGGAGTGTAATACTTTAGCTGTTTTGCATAAATGTTTGGCAATATCTACTAAAGTGAATATTTATTTTCTTTATTACTCACCAATTCCAATTCTGTGTTATGGTCCCCCCTAAATTAGTGTATATGTTTGCTATGTTCCTAGCAACACATTATAATAACAAAAAAGTAGAAATAAATAACTCAAATGCCCATGAACCATAGCTTTATGAATAAATATGATACAATCATACAATAAAATGTTAAGAGTCTTGGTTCTCATACTTAACAATCCTTTGAATTTGGGCAACTAATTTAAATTCTCTAGATTTTAATACTATGTCTGAAAATGGCTACTGTATCTGTTTGGCTGGACTGAGATTTATATAGAAATGAGTGCATGTAAGACACCTGAAAAATAGCCAGCAGAATAATCATTTCCCCGCTCCCAACACAACCAGTAACATTTACATTTATAATTGTATTTATTAGACCAAATTTATCTCTTTACTTTGGTTTCCTTCTAGTTAATCTAGTACAAGAAATCATAGTTTATATTTTAAATTATAATATTTAGAATCTTCTGTTAATTTGCAAGATTTGTTTGTGTTTATTTTCATTCTGTTTCATTCTGTTTCTGTCTTGCTAGACCATCCACACTTTTGAAACCTACTGCTCAAATTTTTCTGTAAAGTTTTCCTAAGGCTTGACACTCTTTCTTCTGTTCAGATGTAACAGTGAATTGCAACTGCAGCACCTACTTCCTTATTCTTGAACATTTTATTAATAACTTTGATGCTGGTGAGGAGGAGGGAAAGATGTTCAATTAATATTTCATAAAATTGAAATCTATTCTTTTCTTCAAAATGTGCATCATAAAAGAAATATGAAGGGAGAAGATTCCCCACATTAACCCTCCCACTCCTCCTTCTTAAGTGTTCCTCATGTTAATTTGTTAATAATAGCAGTGTCTGGAGAAACCTATTAGCGCTTTAACAGCTTAGTGGAGGACTCTCACTAGAGAAAATGGAATATAAAGATGGAACTAACATCTTGCCACAGAATCCTACAATTTATGGACAAAATTTGTAATAAATATTTGAAAAGACTGTAGGATTACCAGAAGTAGCCAGATATTGGATCTCCTATAGCATTTTTTCTCATTACTTTTTGTACCTAGAGAGTGTACCACTGTGTTGGCCATTGGTTATTCCACAATCTTCTCTTTATAAATAATTTTTAAATTTGTTCTCAGTGTTTGCAATAACAACAAAAATGCTGAAGTGAATAGCCTTGTCATTTGGTACATTTTGCCAGAAAATTTTTGAGAGGAATTATTTAATGAGTCACCAAAAAGTATAATGTTAACTATAGGTTTTTCAAATATGGCATTTATTAAGTGGAGAAAGTTCCCTTCTGTTCCAAATTTGTTGAGAGGTTTTATCAAGGGTAGGTGTTGAATTTTATCAAGTGCTCTTTTTTATGCATCCAATGAGAGAAATAGCTCTAAAAGAATATTATTGAAATTTTAATGTGAGCTCAAAACTAGACACAGAACTGATCTAAAAAGTTGCTAATTGAATTGCGGTTACATAAAAATGTTTTTGTTCTGATAAAATACACACTGAGGGACACAAGATATGTAAATCTGAAATTGCATTCGGTAGTCTTTATTTTTTCAGGAATAGTACTATTGTGATCTTGAAATGACTATTATAAGAGAAAACAAATACATAATTTACTAATACTGGTAGAAATAAAGATTTACCAGACAATAGAAAATAGATAAAAATACAAAATCAATGAATTAATAATCTTAAAAATGAATTGGAAGAACTAGTATGAGCTCATGAAGTTTTTGCTATTAAAACGTACTAAAAAGATATAGAATAAATGACAACCCAACAAACACTTCTAGCACTTAGATCATGGTCTCTGAATAACATTTTCCATTAAAAGGGATGAGAGGTATTTGAAGCAATGTCTAATTTCTTGTCTAAGGCAAATAAAAGATGATCCTGAACATCATAGTTTTTCAAAGCAAGGAAACAATGAATGATCAATGGAATAATGTCAAAGAACAAAGACAGCAAAATATAGAAACTCTGACTACAAGTGACTGAAGTTAAGACAACGTGACCATTAAAATGGTCAACATTGCAGGTTGTTAGAGCAACAAGTCATTATTCACAAAACTGATAAAGACTTGAGTATTTAATCTGTCTTTCTGATACAAGCTATTTTTAGTATAATCGGCTTTCATATAAGGATAAGTTTTTCTTATAGAAAAATTATACCTAATAAACATAGAAGGATTGATGGTATCAGGAAATCATTTTTGCCACCTCTAATGACAATCTGGCTCTGGGCAGAAATTTCACTGGATATAAAATCTATCAGCTAAATTTTGATGAGAAACTTTTAAAAGAATAGATCAAACGGATACCACCTGAGCTCAATAATCTCAAAAAGTGGATCAACCAAATATTATGAGCTGGATGATGAGATGCAATGGGAAATGCTTCAGAATCATTTTTGCCTAAATATTTGAAATAGGTTTTTAAAAGTATCATAAGGAAGCAAGTGATCAAGTGTATCAGAAAAATAATTTGGTTTTTCTAAAAAACAAGATATAAAAAAGAAAGTTGAAATATACAATAAAAGAAACAAGGGATTTTAACAACTAGATGTACCAGTTTGGATCCTGATTTGAGCAAACCAGCTATAAGCATACATTCAAAGCAGTCAGAGGACATTAAATAGGGACTAGGCATTCCATATTTTGTTAATTTTGTTAGGAAGTGATGTCACAATAGAGATTATAGATGTTTCTTAGAAACGTATCATGTATAATGAAGTTCTAGAGGAGAAGGACAGGAATTGATGTAATATGTTTTAAAAGAGTCACACAAAATGAAGTAGGGGCACAGACAGATCAAAATCAGCAACAAGTTGACGACTGCTCTCACTAGCAGCTGGCAAAAGGGACTTAAATCCATCACTTTTTCTACTTTGTTATGTTCTCCAACAAAAAAATAAGGAAAAACTACAATTTAGGAAGAGCACTGTGAAGGAAAGGAAAATGACCTAGGCTGGGAAGGACAGAGCTAGAGTTGAGCTTTGAATGGAGAGGAAACACTAGGAGGGTTTAAGCTAAATTGGATTGGCTGGACTGTTCCAAAAACCAGGACCAGAACACATAAAGATCCTGTGGAGGTGGAAGCAGGGCTCTATGAAAGAATGAAGAGATCTGAATGCTCGACTAGCCTTTACATGTTAATATTTCACCAGAGGAGTCGACCTAGTGGGTACCATAGTATTTCCAGCTGTAAGCAGTCAGTGCTACTAGATAATTATTTTAGGATGCAGAGCTACAGGTGAAATATGTTAAGTCTCCAGGGTCATGTGAAACCTGTAGCTGCACCATATGTAATTCCAGCACTCCGGCCTCTCTCCACGCACTCTCCAAGGAATCTTGCTGTGATGAGTTTTAAATGCCTCCCATACTGAATGTTCTCCAACCTCTGTCTCCAGCTCCAATCTCTGGATTTAGAGATCTCTGGATAGAGTTCACTCTATCTAGCTCCACATTCCTAAAAGGATGAGAAAACCTGGAGGCCTCTAAGCACTTTATGCTGAATTGGTTTGCACCCAAAACATCATAGTCCTGTAGAATTTCACGAGAACTATGTGAGCATAGTTCTAGTTTCTTTGAATGGCACATCACTCCAGCTGCTTAAACCAGGGCCCAGAAGAGTCTTAAATGCCTTCTTTACCCTTTTACTCCATGTCCATGCAGTCTACCTGCTTTCAGGTATGTTGATTCTACTCACTAAATTTATCTGGAAATGTGACACCCCCTCACAATGCCCCACAGGCCTCACCACCTTTGAATGTTTGTGTGTGTGTGTGTGTGTGTGTGTGTGTGTGCGTGTCTGTGGTTACTGCAATGTCTACTGTATCCTTCTTTTAGTTCCTGCAACAAGGTGATTTTTTCCAAAACACACATCTCATTGTGTCAATCGTCTGAATTAAACCTTTCCTAGCTACACCACTCCTGAGCTGCAATAAACAATGAAAACCCCTGAGAACATCAGGCAAGGCCCCTCACGATGAGGACTTTGTCTACTGCCTTCATCTTCTCTTCTCTGCACTCCTCCGTATGCACCCCACGACCTGACAATTTGTCTTACTACTCACAGTTCCCTATGAAACTCAAGTGTCCCATGAATTTGTGCTGTTCCCTGTGGAAATCTGGTGAATACCTACTCCTCTTTAAGGGATGGGGCACTAGTCCCTGGGGCAGGCAAGCATCTGACATATATTTGGCCAAAGGTACCCTTGAAAATATTATCCACCTGTGCCATCTGATCTCCTTGTATTTCTCTGGCCCATAACAGCTAGCATCCTGTAGGGGTGGCTGTTTCTATGAATGGCTAATAGCGGCAGCTCCAGTTAACACTGGCCCCTGGTGGACAGCCCTGGCCTGTTGGCCACGTGAACCCCAGGCATTTGTCTATTGCCAGGAGCACAATCTTCCCTACTGAGACCCCTGTCCTCTCTGCCAGGCAAAGGTTGAAATGCAGGGCCTAGGGCTGGCATGCTGGGACCTCCACAGATGTTCCCCAGAAGTTCCCTATGGCCTACAAAGATGGGGAAAGAAGTAAGAATGTGGGTGAGGGGGACTCTCTGGGCTGTTCTCTGTTGGGTTAACTGGAACCAGCAGTGACTAGGGATGACAATATGGCCAATATTCCACAATCAGAATAGACTCAGGTGCTCCAGAAAGAAAACACAAGGTGTGGAGAAAGAGGCAAAAAGCCTGGGCATTGTTGCAGAATCATCTAGAAGAAGGTTGGCAGGAAGTCCTTCCTCAACAGACTGAGGTAGAAATGTAGAAGAAGAAGGTGTCCGTAAACCCTCTCTGCAGTCAGGAGTGAATTGAAGTGCAAGGTTCTTAGTAGCCTTACAGATCATCAGGCCCTAGAAGCCCCTGCCTTACTTGGCATTAATTAACCCCTTAGTTTCTGGGTCATGGGGAAACCTGGGGGCAACAGACCTTAATAAACCACTCTAGAAATATTTTAGCATTTTAACAACTGCCATGACAGTACTGTTTCTTAGCAGGTTCAGAATCTCTGGTCTCTTGATATATGCTCTGGAATGTTGAGCTATGGGTCTGTTACTTCTGAAATAAGCACAATCATGCAGCTCCAGCCCCTTTAAGCAACCTTCCATCTGTCTTATCCAAGGATGCAGCACTGTGCTCCCCCACCTGGCCAGATAAATTGACTGTGACTCTGCATTGCAGACACAGCTGTCCCCACAGGCAGGTCCCAACAGCTAACTTGAAGTAGGAGTAGGAGGCCTGAGTAGACTTCAGGCCTGAGTAGCTAAATTATCTTACTGGAAGCCCTAAAGGTTTCAATAAATTTGAATTTGCTCCAGGCAATGATGAAGCAACTGCTGTGACTCTGTTTATCTCTAACTTACGAATTTCTTAGAACCCAGAGGAAAAGGATGTCCTCATCCCCAATTTACAGCAAAAGCCATGAATTTACAGATGACAGCTTCAGAATTCATGTCAGGATATGTGTTCTAATCTGAATAAAGCATTATTTCCAATATTTGGATAAGCCTATTTTGTGAGGAATGTGTTCAGACAGGACAGAAGGAAGGGGCAAGAGTTGTGTCGCATCTCTGTTCCTGAGTGTTTTTACGTTGCACTGGCCCAGATATTCTTGACACAAGATAAAGAGTTGATCGACATAAATTCCAGGCTACTAACAAGTCCTGCTGCTGACATTCTGTGCAACCTTGAGACCTTGAGATAGGAGGCTGGCACAAGATACAGGTCACAAAGACCTTGCTGATAAAACAGCATACGGTAAAGGAGCTGGCCAAATCCCACCAAAACCAAGAAGGCAAGGAAAGAGACCTCTGGTCATCCTCACTGCTTAATACACACTAATTATAATACATTAGCATGTTAAAAGACATTCCCACCAGTGCCATGACTGTTTACAAATGCCAAGGCAACATCAGAAAGTTACCCTACATGCTCTACAATGGGGAGGAACCCTCAATTCCGGGAATTGCCCCCACCCCTTTCCCAGAAAACTCATGAATAATCCACCCCTCGTTTAGCATATAATCAAGAAATAACCATAAAATAGCCAAAGAGCAGCCCGTGCTGCTGCTCTGCCTATGGAGTAGCCATTCTTTCACTCCTTTACTTTTTTAATAAACTTGCTTTCACTTTACTCTATGGATTTGCCTTTAATTCTTTCTTGCGTGAGATCCAAGAACACTCTCTCGTGGTCTGGATCAGGACCCCTTTCTGGTAACAGTATTTGTTTACTGAAGTCAAATCTGTTTCTGTGAGGATAAAGGAGGAAATATCAGTGTAAGTGAATAAAAAATGGGCCATGAAGACAGTCATACAAAAGCCTACAGCCATCACAATTTCCAGGGCAGCAGCAAGAAAGAAGTAGAAAGCTAATGAAAACTTATTCTGAGGAAGAATCTTCCCAGGCCAATCTCAGAGAGCGTACTGTGAAAGAAACGGCCAGAGAGTAGCTGCTCAAAGTGACTGCGACCTTCAGGAGACCTGCAGAGGTTTGGCAATACATCTGCAGTTTGAGTCTCACTAGTAAAACTGATCCTTAATATTATTAAATTGTGTTGAATTACAAGACAATAACTAAACAGCAGCAACAATAACAAAAAAGTCTTCTTTTGACTGTCTAAGTAGGGGATTAGGAAAAGAACCATGAGAAAGCAATCTTCCTGTGTCTCCCAAACTGAGATAAACAGAATACTAGTGTCCTGCAAAATGTTAATAAGTATTAATCAGTAAAGAAGGTTCTGTGATTAAATAGGTTTGACAAGTTCTGGCTACACAAAATAATGGAATCATTCACTAAAGAATGTCTCAGGTTCTTAACGTGCTAATATGCATGATAATCTCCGGGTACGGGGAGTTTTCCAAACTCATTTAACTTCAGAATACGTTTTTTTTTTTCTTTTCAGAACTCCCATTAGCATCCCATTGGATATTTGTGTTCTGTGACACTCAATTTGGAAAACATGAGGGTAGTACCATTTACATTTCAATGGATGCCAAGAAAAAAGCCCCAGGAGAAGGATTCCATTCTGTTTGGCAATAAACCCGCTCTGAAGCAGACTTCTGAACCGGCCAGAGCAGAAGCACAGGAAAGCCAGTGTGTAGACTCATCCAACGCCTTAGCCAGAAAACCTCCAAACTGACCCAGATTGCTCCAAAAGGAATAGAAAATTTTAGGAACATTTATATTAGATGTTCAGATAGATGCTGTCAGGCCTCTGAGCCCAAACTAAGCCATCATATCCCCCTGTGACCTGCACTTACACATCCAGATGGCTGGATCCTGCCTTAACTGATGACATTCCACCACAAAAGAAGTGAAAATGGCCTGTTCCTGCCTTAACTGATGACATCGTCTTGTGAAATTCCTTCTCCTGGCTCATCCTGGCTCAAAAGCTCCCCTACTGAGCACCCTGTGACCCCCACTCTGCCCACCAGAGAACAAACCCCCTTTGACTGTAATTTTCCTTTACCTACTCAAATCCTATAAAACGGCCCCACCCCATCTCCCTTTGCTGACTCTCTTTTCGGACTCAGCCCACCTGCACCCAGGTGATTAAAAGCTTTATTGCTCACATAAAGCCTGTTTGGTGGTCTCTTCACACGGATGCACATGAAATTTGGTGCCGTGACTCGGATCGGGGACCTCCCTTGGGAGATCAATCCCCTGTCCTCCTGCTCTTTGCTCCGTGAGAAGGATCCACCTATGACCTCAGGTCCTCAGACCCACCAGCCCAAGAAACATCTCACCAATTTCAAATGCAGTAAGCGGCCTCTTTTTACTCTCTTCTCCAACCTCCCTCACTATCCCTCAACCTCTTTCTCCTTTGAATCTTGGCACCACACTTCAATCTCTCCCTTCTTTTAATTTCAATTCCTTTCATTTTCTGGTAGAGACAAAGGAGACACGTTTTATCCGTGGACCCAAAACTCCGGCGCCAGTCATGGCCTAGGGAAGGCAGCCTTCCCTTGGTGTTTAATCATTGCAGGGGCGCCTCTCTGATTATTCACCCAGGTTTCAGAGGTGTCAGACCACGCAGGGACGCCTGCCTTGGTCCTTCACCCTTAGCGGCAAGTCCTGCTTTTCTGGGGAAGGGCCAAGTACCCCAACCCCTTCTCTCCGTGTCTCTACCCTTCTCTGCCTTTCTGTGGGGCAAGAAACCCCCAACCCCTTCTCCTTCACCCTTAGCGGCAAGTCCCGCTTTTCTGGGGGAGGGGCAAGTACCCCTTATATCTCTGCACCCCATCCCTTATTTCTGCACTCCAACCTCTTATATCTCTGCACCTCGATCCCTTATTTCTGCACCCCAACCTCTTATATCTCTGCGCTCCATCCCTTATTTCCGCACCCCAACCTCTATCTCCGCGCCCCATCCCTTATTTCCGCACCCCAACCTCTTATATCTCTGCACCCCGATCCCTTATTTCCACGCCCCAACCTCTTATATCTCTGTGCCTTGATCCCTTATTTCCGCACCCCAACCTGTATCTCTGCGCCCCATCCCTTATTTCCGCACCCCAACCTCTTATATCGCTGCGCCTCATGCCTTATTTCTGCACCCCAACCTCTTATATCTCTGCGCCCGGATCCCTTATTTCCGTGCCCCAACCTCTTATATCTCTGCACCCCAATCCCTTATTTCCGTGCCCTGACCTCGTATCTCTGTGCCTTGACCCCTTTCCCACTTTTCTGGAGGGTAAGAACCCCTGAATCCCTTCTCTCTGTGTCTCTACTCTCTCTTTTCTCTGGGCTTGCCTCCTTCACTATGGGCAACCTTCCACCCTCCATTCCTCCTTCTTCTCCCTTAGCCTGTGTTCTTAAGAACTTAAAACCTCTTCAACTCACACCTGACCTAAAACGCAAATGCCTTATTTTCTTCTGCAATGCCGCTTGACCCCATTACAAACTCGACAGTAGTTCCAAATGGCCAGAAAACGGCACTTTCGATTTCTCCATCCTACAAGACCTAAATAATTCTTGTGGTAAAATAGGCAAATGGTATGAGGTGCCTGACGTCCAGGAATTCTTTTACACATCGGTCCCTCCCTAGTCTGTGTGCCCAGTGCAACTTGTCCCAAATCTTCCTTCTTTCCCTCCCACCTATCCCCTCAGTCCCAACCCCAAACAATTGCTGAGTCTTTCTAATCTTCCTTTTCTACAGACCCATCTGACCTCTCCCCTCCTCCCCAGGCTGCTCCTCGCTAGGCCAAGCTAGGTCCCAATTCTTCCTCAGCCTCGGCTCCTCCACCCTATAATCTTTTTATCACCTCCCCTCCTCACACCTGGTCCAGTTTACAGTTTCATTCTGTGAGTAGCCCTCTCCCACCTGCCCAGCAATTTCCTCTTAAAAAGGTGGCTGGAGCTAAAGGCATAGTCAAGGTTAATGCTCCTTTTTCTTTATCAGACGTCTCCCAAATCAGTGAGCGTTTAGGCTCTTTCATCAAATATGAAAAACCCAGCCCAGTTCATGGCTCATTCGGCAGCAACCCTGAGACGCTTTACAGCCCTAGACCCTAAAAGGTCAAAAGGCCATCTTATTCTCAAAATATATTTTATTACCCAATCTGCTCCCAACATTAAATAAAACTCCAAAAATTAAATTCCAGCCCTCAAACCCCACAACAGGACTTAATTAACCTTGTCTTCAAGGTGTACAATAATAGAAAAAAGTTGCAATTCCTTACCTCCACTGGGAGACAAACCCCAGCCACATCTCCAGCACACAACTTCCAAACGCCTGAACCGCAGCAGCCAGGTGTTCCTCCAGAACCTCCTCCACCAGGAGCTTGCTACAAGTGCCAGAAATCTGGCCACCAGGCCAAGGAATGCCTGCAGCCCAGGATTCCTCCAAAACCGAGTCCCATCTGTGCGGGACACCACTGGAAATCAGACTGTCCAACTCACCTGGCAGCCACTCCCAGAGCCCCTGGAACTCTGGCCCAAGGCTCTCTGACTCCTTCCCAGATCTTCTTGGCTTAGCGGCTGAAGACTGACACTGCCCCATCGCCTCGGAAGCCCCCTAGACCATCACGGACGCCGAGCTTCGGGTAACTCTCACAGCGGAAGGTAAGTCCATCCCCTTAGTCAATGTGGAGGCTACCCACTCCACATTACCTTCTTTTCAAGGGCCTGTTTCCCTTGCCTCCATAACTGTTGTGGGTATTGACGGCCAGGCTTCTAAACCCCTGAAAACTCCCCCACTCTGGTGCCAACTTGGACAACACTCTTTTAAGCACTCCTTTTTAGTTATCCCCACCTGCCCAGTTCCCTTATTAGGCCAAGACACTTTAACTAAATTATCTGCTTCCCTGACTATTCCTGGACTACAGCTACATCTCATTGCCACCTTTTCCCCAGTTCAAAGCCTCCTTCACATCCTCCTCTCATATCCCCCCACCTTAACCCACAAGTATAAGATACCTCTATTCCCTCCTTGGCGACCGATCATGCACCCCTTACAATCTCATTAAAGCCTAATCACCCTTACCCCCCTCAATGCCAATATCCCATCCCACAGCACGCTTTAAAAAGATTAAAGCCTGTTATCACTTCCCTGCTACAGCATGGCCTTTTAAAGCCTATAAATTCTCCTTACAATTCCCCCATTTTACCTGTCCTAAAACCAGACAAGACTTACAGGTTAGTTCAGCATCTGCACCTTATCAACCAAATTGTTTTGCCTATCCACCCCGTGGTGCCAAACCCATATACTCTCCTATCCTCAATACCTCCCTCTACAACCCATTATTCTGTTCTAGATCTCAAACATGTTTTCTTTACTATTCCTTTGCACCCTTCATCCCAGACTCTCTTCGCTTTCACTTAGACTGACCCTGACACCCATCACGCTCAGCAAATTACCTGGGCTGTACTGCCGCAAGCCTTCACAGACAGACCCCATTACTTCAGTCAAGCCCAAATTTCATCCTCATCTGTTACCTATCTCAGCATAATTCTCATAAAAACACACGTGCTCTCCCTGCTGATCGTGTCCAATTAATCTCCCAAACCTCAATCCCTTACAAAACAACAACTCCTTTCCTTCCTAGGCATAGTTAGTACAGTCAGAATTCTTACACAAGAGCCAGGACCACACCCTGTAGCCTTTCTGTCCAAACAACTTGACCTTACTGTTTTAGCCTAGCCCTCATGTCTGCGTGCAGCAGCTGCCGCTGCTTTAATACTTTTAGAGGCCCTAAAAATCACAAATTATGCTCAACTCACTCCCTACAGCTCTCATAATTTCCAAAATCTATTTTCTTCCTCACATCTTGACGCATATACTTTCTGCTCCCCGGCTCCTTCAGCTGTACTCACTCTTTGTTAAGTCCCACAATTACCATTGTTCCTGGCCTGGACTTCAATCCGGCCTCCCACGTTATTCCTGATACCACACCTGACCCTCATGACTGTATCTCTCTGATCCACCTGACATTCACCCCATTTCCCCATATTTCCTTCTTTCCTGTTCCTCACCCTGATCACACTTGATTTACTGATGGCGGTTCCACCAGGCCTAATCACCACACACCAGCAAAGGCAGGCTATGCTATAATACAAGCCACTAGCCCGCCTCTTAGAACCTCTCATTTTCTTTTCACCGTGGAAATCTATCTTCAAGGAAATAACTTCTCAGTGTTCCATCTGCTACTCTACTACTCCTCAGGGATTATTCAGGCCCCCTCCCTTCCCTACACATCAAGCTCAAGGATTTGCCCCCACCCAGGACTGGCAAATTAGCTTTACTCAACATGCCCCTAGTCAGATAACTAAAATACCTCTTAGTCTAGGTAGACACTTTCACTGGATAGGTACAGGCCTTTCCTATAGGGTCTGAGAAGGCCACCACAGTCATTTCTTCCCTTCTGTAGACATAATTCCTCAGTTTAGCCTTCCCACCTCTATACAGTCTGATAACAGACCAGCCTTTATTAGTCAAATCAGCCAAGCAGTTTTTCAGGCTCTTAGTATTCAGTGAAACCTTTATATCCCTTACGGTCCTCCGTCTTCAGGAAAAGTAGAACGGACCAAAGGTCTTTTAAAAACACACCTCACCAAGCTCAGCCACCAACTTAAAAAGGACTGGACAATACTTTTACCACTTTCCCTTCTCAGAAGTCAGACCTGTCCTCAGAATGCTACAAGGTTCAGCCCATTTGAGCTCCTGTATAGACGCTCCTTTTTATTAGGCCCCAGTCTCATTCCACACACCAGACCAACTTAGACTGTGCCCCAAAAAAACTTGTCTTCCCTACTATCTTCTGTCTAGTCATACTCCTATTCACCGTTTTCAACTACTCATACATGCCCTGCTCTTGTTTACACTGCCGGTTTACACTGTTTCTCCAAGCCATCACAGCTGATATCTCCTGGTGCTATCTCCAAATTGCCACTCTTAACTCCTGAAGTAAATAATCTTTGCTGGCAGGACTATGCTGAATCTCCTTAGGCACTCTCTAATCAGATGTCCTGTGTCGTCCCAATTCTTAGACCTTTTATACCTGTTTTTCTCCTTCTCTTATTCCATTTAGTTTTTCAATTCATACAAAACCGTATCCAGGCCATCACCAATAATTCTAAATGACAAATGTTTCTTCTAACAACCCCACAATATCACCCCTTACCATAAAATCTTCCTTCACCTTAATCTCTCCCATTCTAGGTTCCCATGCTGCCCCTAATCCCCCTCGAAGCAGCCCTGAGAAACGTCGCCCATTATCTCTCCATACCATCCCCCAAAATTTTCGCTGTCCCAACACTTTACCACTATTTCGTTTTATTTTTCTTATTAATATAAGAAGACAGGAATGTCAGGCCTCTGAGCCCAAGCTAAGCCATCATATCCCCTGTGACCTGCACGTACACATCCAGATGGCTGGATCCTGCCTTAACTGATGACATTCCACCACAAAAGAAGTGAAAATGGCCTGTTTCTGCCTTAACTGATGACATTGTCTTGTGAAATCCCCTCTCCTGGCTCATCCTGGCTCAAAAGCTCCCCTACTGAGCACCTTGTGACCCCCACTCTGCCTGCCAGAGAACAACCCCCCTTTGACTGTAACTTTCCTTTACCTACCCAAATCCTATAAAATGGCCCCACCCCTATTCTCCCTTCGCTGACTCTCTTTTCGGACTCAGCCCGCCTGCACCCAGGTGATTAAAAGCTTTATTGCTCACACAAAGCCTGTTTGGTGGTCTCTTCACATGGACGCACATGAAAGATGCTGATGTACAAGGAGCCAAAAAGGCCTGCGGGTAAGCTCCTGCTTCCTGTTTGACAGACTAGGATGGGAACCGGGAGTAAAGAAGGTAGGAAGGGGAAAGATGAGCAGGGGACCCGAAGGAGCAGAGGCAGACCCTACTGCCGAAGGAGGAGGAAGGGCTTCCCCCGGCGATGTGGGGCTCCTGGACTGCTCCCTCACCCTGCCTTCTGAAATCCTGCTCCCTCTTAGCTGTGGGATAACTGTGGGGAGGGAGGAAACCAACTTCCTGTCTCTAGAGACACTAAGAACTTTGTTCTCAAATCCCTCATTGAAAGAGTTGCTTAGTCCAGATGTTACCCAAAAGGGGTCCCGATCCAGACCCCAAGAGAGAGTTCTTGGATCTGGAAAAACAAAGAATTCAAGGCAAATCCATAAAGTGAAAGCAAATTTCTTAAGAAAGTAGAGGAATAACAAATGCCTACTCCATAGGCAGAGCAGATGCATGGGCTGTTGATTGCCTACTTTTACGATTATTTCTTGATAATGTGCTAAAGGAGGGGTGGATTATTCATGAGTTTTCTGGGAAAGGGGTGGGAAATTCCCTGGAACTGAGGGTTCCTCCCCTTTTCGGACCATATAGGGTAACTTCCTGATGTTTTCATGGCATTTGTAAACTCTCCTGGTGCTGCTGAAAGTGTCTTTTAGCATGCTAATGTATTATAATTAACATATAATGAGCAGTGAGGAGACCAGAGGTTGCCATCTTGGTTTTGGTGGGGTTTGGCCAGCTTCTTTACCTCGGACTATTATATCAGCAAGGTCTTTGTGACCTATATCTTACGCCAACCTCCTGTTTCATCCTGTGACTTAGAACGCCATAACCTCCTGGGAATGCAGCCCAATAGGTCTCAGCCTCATTTTACCCAGCCCCTATTCAAGATGGAGTCGCTCTGGTTCAAATACCTCTGATACAGAGAGGGAAGAAACACCAACCCTCAGCGTGGACGCTGGCAGCTGCGACCTCTCATGAAAGGGTGCGGATGGCCTCTGGTGAACTGGATGAGGTCTCTGGTGAGTGGGGTGAGGCCTCTGGTGAGCGGCTCGCGGCTTCTCCTGAGTGGGGTGAGGTCTCTCGTAATGGCGGTATGTTCTCTGGTGAGCAGGGCGCGGTGGCGGCCCGGTGCACAGCAGCCCTGGGCAGCTGTTGAGCAGGGTGGGGAAGCCCATGGTTAGCCCAGGACAAGCCTGCGAAACCAGTAATGGCAGCAAAGACAGCGAGGGTTGGGCTGCTTCTGGTGCCGCACTCCCTGGTAGCCGCGGGGACAGGCACCTGAAGAGCTGAGGCCTCCACCAGGCGCTGAAGCCGAGGAAACCCCGTGGGCTCCCTGGGGAGATACAGGGAGGAAAGGTTTCAGGAGTGAGCAGGGAGTGAACTGCGGGACGCGGAGGTGTTTCCGTGACGGGAGCTCGTGGAGAGCGCGGCGTGGGGTGCTGCAGCCCGGGAGGAGAAAACACGGGCGCCCACGGAGCAGTTGGAGAGAGGCCGTGGTGGGAGAGAGGCCCTTCCACCCAGTCTCGCGGGAAGCGGCTTGTTCACGTCCCCATTTGGGTAGGAGCCCTGGGTCTGTGTTCACTGTTGGGGAAGCTCCCGGGCCGCTCCTGGATGCAGCCGGAATGGCTGAGATCTTCAGCCCGGAAGAGGGAGGCTCCGTTCTGCACTGTGGCGTCGTTGTCTCGGCTTCCTCTCCTGAGTCTCCGTCCAGAATCTGCGGATCATGGTGGGCAGGCATCCGTTCCAACAGGATGGTGACAGGAACTGAGCAAAGGAAGGAATAATTCACTGAGAATTCGGGGGAAACCTCAAACAGTTCTCAGGAATGGGAGATTTTTGTATTCTGTAAAAATTCCATTTGCATGGAGACTCAGATTTTAAATCTCTAATTAAAAACAAAAGTAGCTGAATCCATGTTGGGTTATTTCAATGAACTCATTCCAGGCCCTGCTTGAGTCACAATCTTGTACTTTAGCTCTTCCCACAGATGAGCCCCTGAATAAATCCTCACCCCACCTGAAGCTGAAACGGTCCCAAGATGGAGCCTTAATGCAAGTCAAGGACCCGCCATCAAGTTATCCTGGCTTTGGGCCAGCCCTGGCTTGTTCTGCCTGGCTCTTCTTGGGTCCAAAATATTATTATTTCAGCATGCATTCAGTATTCAAATTATCAGTGAAGCAGTTTCCATTTTTTCACACTAAGTCTTTGAAATTCATTGTGTTTTTTGCACTTAGAGTACATCTCAATTTGGTCAGAGCACACACAGTTGGTCCAAACCTGTGGCTGCCCTATAGGTTTATAATCAATCACCTCTTTAGTGACCCGCCTCCTAATACTATCACTATGGGAATTAGAAATTAAACATATAAATAGTTAAAAAGAAACCCCCTCATAAAAACTTACAGAAATTTTAAGAATTAGTAAATGAATTGAGTAATATTGCCAGCTATAAGTAATATGTATATAATCTTTCTACAGACCAACAATGAATAGAAAAATTAATAATTAGAATGATGCCATTTACAATAGCTATAAACATTTTAAAATATCCTGAAATAATTTTATTAAGTGCAAGTCTTTTTTTAATGAAAATTATGATACTTCATTGAAATTCATTTAAAAATACCGAATTAAATAGAGACATACAATGTTATTGAATATGAAGCCTATCATAAAAAAACTGCAGATCTCCTCAACTTGATCCATCACTCCAATAAAAATTTCAACAGGGGTTTCTGTGTAAGGCAATAAGCTGAACAAATGGTTGAAATTAGCAAGGCTTTCCTGAAGAAGAGAGAGGAAAATGAAGCGTGGGGAGGGCCTGCCAATATGGTAAGTGCAAAACGTTATCTTCTTCGAGTTTTAATTTGCATTTCTGTGATTACTAAAAAGGTTGAACAATTATCCATATTTTTAATTCAGTTTTTCCCTCATGAGATGCCTACAAATTATTTGCCCGTTTCTCAACTTTTTATTTCTGATCCATAGAAATCCCCACTTAATAGTCTGGATATTAATTTTTCAGTTATAGATAGGTAAATATTTTCTACTGGCTTGTGGCTTATTTTCTAACTCTTCATGGTGTCCTTTGGTGCACAGATATCTCTTGATGTAGTAGAATTTATCTTTTCTTTTATGGTTGATGCTTTCTGTGTCTTGTTTCAAAATGTGGTGTTTTTTTTTTAGCACATAATCTTAAAGACATTCTTGTTTTAGTCTATCCAGGCTGATATAACAAAATGCCATAAACTGGGTAGCTTATAAACAACAGAAATTTATTTCTTCCACAGTCCTGGAGTGTGGAAGTATACGATCAAGGCAAATTCAGTGACTCACAAGAGGCCAGACACGGATGATACCTTCTTTCTGTGTCCTCACAGGGTGGAACAGGCCAGGATTCCGGTTAGGGCCTTATTATAAAGATGCTAATCCCATTTCTGAGGGGTCTGCCATCATTATAAACTCACCTCTTAAATGACCCGCTTCCTAATACCATCACCTTGGGGATTCAAAATTTAATATAAGAATTTTGGAAGGACCCAAACTCAAATCACCGCAATTCTCCTTTGCTGTATTTTACATTTTGAAAAGTTTGCCTTTTACATTTTAAGTTGCTGATACATAATAAACTGGCTTTTGTTTATGGTGTAAAGTAAGAATATAATTTTATTTTCCCCATATAGATAACAAATTTTTCCAGCATTATTTATTGAATACCTCTCCTTTCTGCACTGAAGTGCAAAGAACCTCTAACATTCAGAGAATTTTCCACATATGTATGGATCTGTTTCTAAACCATTCCTGATCTGTTTCTGCCTTATGTTCTCTATCATTACATAAGTAGCACAATGTATTAATTTGTATGCTTTAATTTTTTTATAAATACAGCAGTTAGAAAAATTACCTTCCTGGCTCACATTATATTTCTGTCTCTCCATGCTGATATGAATAATCATAGTAACTACCTCTTTCTTTCCAAACCTTACACTATTCGTTTCTTTTTCTTATTTATTGTGGTGACTGGGTGCTGAAGAACAATGTTGAATAGATGTGGTAACAGCAGAAAATCAATTATATCCCTGACTATATGGTAATGTGCATAATATTTCATAATTAAATAAGATGTTGATGAAATATATTTTTGTGTGTGTTTTATTAGAGCATAAAACTTCCCCACTATTCCTAAGTTACTAGGAGTTTTTGTTTTGTTCTGTTTTAAACATTAGTGGTATATTAATATCCATTGTTAATCCAATTAACCAAATAATTGAAATATATCTAATGTTTTTTCTGCATGAACGTGATACACTTTATAAATTTGTTTTCTAATATTGAGTCAACCTGATCTTCCTGGAATGCTCTAAACTTGGTCAGAATGCATTATCTTATCAATACATTTTTGGATTTTATCTGCTAAGACATTTTGAAGTTTTGGTATTCATGCTCATAAATGAGTGAATTTAGCCTGAAATTTTAAATGGTGTTCTCAGGATGGTGTACACACACACACACGCACGCACGCACACACACACACAACACAGCATTCTTATGTTTTATAAAATAGTTGTTTGTTTACACTTATTTCTATATTTACCTTTTGCTTACATTTTTTATTATATCTTGCAGCTTCCTTCTGCGAACATTGTTTTCTTTGTAAACCATATCCTTCAGAATTCTATCAATGAGGGACTAGTATAATTCTTTTGTAAGATTTTGGGGGCCATCTTTGTTTTGTTTTCACTCTTAAAAGATGGACTTCCTACATTTAGAATTCTAAGTTAAGATCTATTTACTGTCATCATGTTGAAGATACGTAAACCCACTCTTTTGTTGGCTTCTCTTATGATGCCAGCTTTGGGTCTTATGGCCAGTTTTCAGTAGGTGATTTTATCTTTTCTCTCTGACTACCTTTAATATTCTTTTTGGTTTTGTTTTTGTGTTCAGCTGTTTGCTTATGATATGTTTAAGTATATACCTTATTGAATGTTTATCTTTCATCATATTCAAATGTTATCAATCTATTTCTCATTCTTTTGCTCAATCTATCTCTCTATTTTTTTCTTTCTAGATCTTCAATAAGACATATACTTCATGTTATTTTTCTATAATCTATGTCACTCAAATCTTTATGGTTCCTCTTTGTGGTCACCTTGGGCTTATGCTGGTTTATTTTTTCAGTTCAGTACACTAAGACTTTTTTCTGCTTTGATTAATATGTTCTTTAGTCCATCCATTGAATTTCTAATGTAAAGTAGCAGGCAAGTATACGTAATTTATTCTGAAAGGTTTATTTAGTTCTTTATTAAATATTAAATATGTCTGGCCATTTATACCTTTTCCCTTTTTATTTCATTTGTTATTCCTTATATATTTAGGTATTTATCATATATGCTGTATTGGATAATCCCATATCTGCAGTATAAGTTTTATACTGAGCCTTGTTGCTTGTGCTTATCCTCAGCTCAGGTCAGTATTTGAAAATTAGCTTTTTCATTTTATCTAGTAGGTTTAGATACGATAAACCACATGTTTTCTCTGCCATATTGGTAGAAATAAAAGTCTTCCAGTTACTTAAAAAATTAGTTTAATAAAATACTGACTTCATAGTAGAAAGTAGAAACTTTGCAAAATACTTTAATATAGTCTAGCCCATAAGAGATATGTTTTACATCCTTTCTTCAATTTTTTTTTCTTAAAATATTTACATTCTTGACCACAAAGTATTATTAAATGACATGGGAAAATACTAATGATACAATGACAAATGAAAATAACAAAACTGCTTTTCAATATTCTTGAAACTACAAATAAAAAATGTCCCATGTAAGTTTTAGGAAATAATCCCTTTCGTTTTTTGCTCACCTGTTTATTTCAACCTCCCTCCTTCCCACCACTTTTTTTTGGATTCATTTTTGATTCCAGCAAGCCTGGGCCTAATCCTAGAGATACTGATTAAATAAATCTAGATAGTTTTGGAATATGCTTTCAAGAAAAAATATTCTCAGGATTCCAGTGTGAAGTGGGGTTTGGAAACCCCTGGAAACATTAAGTTACATGTCTTATAAAGAAATCCCACAATTACATGCAGGGAGTATAATGTTTTAATGAAGTATAAAATACATAACTGAGCTCACAGAAAAGTATATCTGAACTAGCACTCAGTAGCATTTTTAAGTATTAGGAAATTTTGATTTTAGTTCAAGTTATATATAAAATAGTCAAGTCTTATATCCTGTTTTATTTCAAATTGTAAAGAAAAATTTGATCCTATTTGCATTTCAGAAAATAAAAACAGAGATCAGAAACACAGTATAGGCACTCCCAGGGAGGAGGACGGCCTCGTCTTCCAAAAGCCAGATTGCCAAGCACCCTGGTCTGCTCTGACAAATCACAAATCATCCCCTTGCAAAGCTAATAACATTTCCCAGAAAGTGAGATAGTTACTTTCCTTTGTAAATTCATATTTCTTGGCCAGAAGCCCTGGCCAGTTCGGGAATTTTTATTACAAAATTTAAGTATCGTACCAATACTTTTTAACCACCATGAGTTCTGTTAAGTTTTTCACTAATCATATAGGAAAAAAATATGTGTACATTTTAGATCAAATATGTCCAGTGTTACGGTTTTCTTGAGCCAACCAAATGTAATGTAAACAAAATGGAAATTAAGTATGACTTTCATTATGAGTTTCTATCACATAGATCTTTCTATGGATAAGAATATCTTAGAGTTATGGTTTTTACATTTAAATTCTTCATTCGGTGTCAGTTTTAATATATCTTCTCTGTGCTGACACACCATATGCTTTCTAGTAGTTCGTGGGTAGTTGTTGTAGTCTAATCAATAAAGGGCTTCTAACAAGTTGCAGGAATTATGCAGAGTGAGGACAAAGCATCCATCTGAACATAGTCTTGGCTTTTCAAGACAGTAACTATTTCACTTTCTTTTAGTCCCCATAAGAGCAGAAAAGATGTCCCATTTTGTTCCAGAATATATTTAAGCAAATCTATGTCTTTTAGAAAAGTGTTCTCTAAAATGGCATCTACCATAGAGATGTGGGTTGGAAATCCAGGTAACAAAGGTGCTTTTCCTGTCTGTACAACTTTGGGGAAAGGGAGAGGAGGGTCCCAAGAGAAAGGGTAGAACACAAGTTTTATGGGAGTTGGCCTAGGGACACCACTTTGAGCCGGGGAATGTTAAATTGAACTTCTTTCAATGTTAGAAGACCATCTTAGCCAAAGAAAAGGGAGGTTGTCTCAGGTTATTTTTTACTCTTCCTGAAATCTTCCTTATAAAATAAAATATTAAAAAGTAACTATTTGAGAAATACACAAACTACCCATATCTGTGCATAAAAATCAATGAACTTGGTGGTTATGTAACAAATATGAGCAAGGAATTTTTTTACAAATCCACATAAAGTCAAAAAGTTCATGGATTTCACCACAGTAGCTGCTGTTGAGAGATCACTGATAACATCACACAGGAAACAAGCATACAAGTCTTTTGAGTAAGGGCAAGAGGGAGTGTTTTTCAAGGAAGGAAGTAATCTATAGTTCTTTTTTCGTTTCCCAAAGAAGAGATTTCTACATCCCCCACACAACCACCTGCAAAAAGCATTCATAGACATCTGAGAGAAACACATTTTTAAAGGGCACTGCCAGGCGCTTTAAGAGAACTGTATTTCTAGCTGCTTAGCATTATGTAAACACAATGGGCAATAGAATGAGCAAATCAAATGCTTAAAGCAATTGAAATAGTTCGAGTTATATAATCTTCTAACTTTTATTTTTCAATAATACATGCTAACTGGAAAAGAAATTGGAACATACAGATAAGTGAAATATGAAAAAAAATCAAAATCACTTACTATCCTACCACTTATATACAACTACTGTTGGTATTTTGATACGTCTTCTAGAATTTTATATTCATCTACCAAGATATTTAAATATCTAGATATCTATTTATATCCATCTGTAACAAAAACAGAAATGGCTGATCCTGCCTTATAGCCTTTTTAACTTAAAATTAATTTAAAATTATGCACCACATAACCACTATTTTTTGAAAATACATAATTTTATCATTTTAAATCACTATACATTGTTTCTTTTCTTTTTTTTTTTTTTTTTTTTTTTTTTTTTTTTGAGATGGAGTCTTGTTCTGTCACTCAGGCTAGAGTGCAGTGGGAAGATCTTGGCTCACTGCAACCTCTACCTCCCAGGTTTAAGCAATTCTCCCACCTCAGCCTCCCAAATAGCTGGGATTACAGGCACGTGCCACCATGCCCGGCTAATTTTTTTTTTTTTGTATTTTTAGTAGAGACGGGGTTTTGCCATGCTGGCCAGGCTGGTCTCGAACTCCTTGCCTTAAGTGATCTGAATCCTCGGCCTCCCAAAGTTTTGGGATTGCAGGCATGAGTCACCGCGCCTGGCCCCATTGTTTCTTTTCATGTTATATGTGTATTCTATATATTGTGTATATGGATACTCTAAATATATAGAGTATGTATGTATGGAGAGAATTTGTTTATGTGTGTGTGTATATATATACATATAAACATATTCATATAAATATATGCCTGTATACATATATACACTCTAAACCCCAGTTTGGAAGCCCTTGTTTCTACATTTTAATATAGAAAAACATTTAATTTGCTTCTATATTTTTAAGTGAGTCTGTCCACAGATTGCTTAGGCTTCCTCATCGCCTGCTTGTGAGAGTTCAAGATTAAACATTCTAAGGGTCCAGGCGTTTTTGTGACCTAGCCTCAGAAGTTGCATATTGTCAGTTCTCAAATCCTCTATTAGTCAGGACAGCCACACAGTCCAGCCTAGTTTCAAGGAAAGAAAAACCCTTTCTCTTCTTTTGTATCTTCTCTTGTTGAGGAAGTGGCAAGATTTCGGAAGCTCATGGGGCATATTTTTGCAACAATATTTGCAAAATACAATCTGCCATAAAAGTCCTCTCATTGAGCAGTGATTTGATGAAGGGTTGTCTTTTCAGCCCTGGAAGATAGAGAATACCTGTATAGTTTTTCATTGTTTCTTTATTGCATGAGTGAGGCCAAAAACAAGAGGATAATTATTTCCGAAGTATATTTTTTATTTTCTTCTTTTTGTTTAAAAAAGTATTTTTATTATGAAATAATGAAATTATCATTTGAAATTTAAAAGAAAAATTTAAAGGCAACCTGAATTTTTTTTTGTATCTATTAGCTTGGTTTAGGTTTTTAGAGATCTAAAAGCATGGAGCATTGTTTTTAAATCTGCTCTGTGCTAGTTTAGTGGCATACACTGATAGACACCAAATACATTCTTTAACTATCTGAACTGGTTCTATTACTGATTAAGTGTTTTGTTATAACATATGTGCAACAATGTTATAGACCATGAAGATGTTCCTGCAACTTATAATTACCTGGATGGAAAATAACACTGAAGTCTTAACCGACGAGAGCCTTGTGGGTGCAAAATGCTTCTGACTCTTGGAACAAAGTTATTAGGATAAGAGTGCAAGGTTTTCTGACCAATAGTAAGGATGTTTTTATACTAAAATAGAGCCTAAGTAGGTGCATTATGTCCCAGTATCAATGAGCACCAAGCCTCTGGAATGACTTTCTATTCCTGACCCCTTCAAACAAGCCATTGTTGGTTGAAGCACCTGCCTCTCTCCTAACAGGTACTGAATAGTGAGGTTTTCAAAAGCATCTATAAAGGTAGCTTGGCTTTATATACTAGCTTCTAAACAGTCTGTCTTTAAATGAAGACAGGGTATTTTTCAGTAGCTCTTATACCCCTCCCAGTTGAATTACTAAAGAACTTCCCACTTGTCTGAAGTGAAATTCTTTCTTTACAATGAGAAAAACTGTCTTCCCTCTTCTGAAATATTTAACAGTCTGACCCTATACTGTTACTTCACACTCTACTCAGTGTCTTTGTCAAGAGAGAGAAGTCAGTCATTTTTCTTAAACTGCTGCTAATGCTGACAGTGGACTACCCTATCATTTATTTCTGCAAGAAAGAAAGATATAATTATTGAGCGTTGCTTTACTTCTTACAGAATTCTTACCTTTTCTTAATTTTTATTTGTCTAATTAGAACTGCTGTTCTGTGAATATTATATATTTCCTCTCCAAATCTGGCAGCTTTTAATTTCCCTTCTTTCTTGCATTTTATTTCTCTTCATTGGAAGAGTTCTGGACATGCAGTTTGCTGAACTGAATTAAAGAAGCTTATTATCTTCTTAAGGAAATGCCCTATGGTCAGTGTGGCTTTTAAACATTTGCTTGTTTTTTTTTTTTTTTTTTTTTTTTTTTTTTACCCTTTAGCATTCTGGCATCTTTCTCCTTAGGATAATGACCAAATGGCACCCAACTTATGGAATAGGCTACTTCCTAAATACACACGAGACATCCTAGCACCCCGTGTGCTTTTTTTGTGTTCCTGAAAATAAGAATTCAGTTCTAATTTTGGAAACACCTAAACATTCATGGAACTGGAAGCTGGAAGGCAACACAGTAAGATATGTTGAAAACAAGAATTCTGTTATAATGCAAATGTAACTTGGGAATATAGAGAGGATACAGTCAATAAAAATGTGGCAGTAAAGGTAATGAATATGAAAGTGCTTTATAAATTATCTGGTGCAATATAAATATCTGCTTGCATGATGACAATAAAAATTAATAGTTTAAGTTAAGAAGCTCACTCTCAAAGGAGATATTTACCATGAGGGGATATGTGCATATAAAGTAAAAAGAATTTTAAAGGAACACTTGCTATTTTCTTCTTATTTTCCATGAGAAGAGAGCAACTATTTGCCCATAATTAGTGCCTTGAACAAGTGGAACATAATAGGGTAAAATCACAAAGCAGTTTGTATAATACCTCCCACCAGCCTTGATGGAAAAATCTCAGGTAGGTCACTTGTATTTCTGGTCACCTCTGGATAACAAATAAGTCTCCAAATTGAAGTCACAGCAGCTGCATCCATTCCTCTAATTAAACTGTAATAATGAAAACTCCAAATTTCCTTATTCGTCAAAGCTTCTTTCTTGCAGGCTGGATCCAGGGTGGGGTCCTCCCGGGACAGGAATGGGGCTGCCATCTTCCTCTCTCTTTCATACCTTGGCTGCTTGCATCTCTGTCCACTGGGCAGCCATTTGTTCTTCCAGGGTTGGGGTGGAAAGGAGAGGTAGGGTACAGAAAAAATATTATCTGACTATAATGTTTTGATGTAGTACGTAGATATTTGAAATTGACTCATTAGAAATGTCCTTGCTGGAAACAGCAGTTGTACTTCCTGTGGTGTGAATGTTCCATCTCCTCTAGCGGAAACTTCCTTAGTTTCTTGACATCTGTTGTTCTCTTTGTAGAGTCTACAGTTGTTGTGGAGAAAGTTTGCTCCTGGGACCCACCATGGGTATCATGGGTAGAAATGCAGGTCTCATGTCTGCCATCGTGACTCTGCTCACAAGGCAGCTAGCAGATTACTGTCTCTTGCTTTGGAATTTTCCAAGCATAATTTAGATACCAATTCATTGTGTCTAAAAACTCTGCAAAATTCGTATCAAGCCCGTTACTGTATCTCTCCAAGTTTCCCTCACAAGAGTTAGGTGAGGGAGGAAAGGGAGAGCCACTGCCTTCCCCTCCATCACAGGATGAAGAGAAATCATGCCACAGACTCAAGCGTGTCTATCAATAGACACTCTTTTATCAGGTTGTACAAAGGGCCTAGTTTCTTTGTTATCATGAAAAAGAGTGGAGCAACGGACACAAAATACCTAGATGAAGTACAAACTCCACTTTGACAATGTTTGGACATACCAGATATAAAGGACATTTTATAGATAATTGAAGACATTTGAAAATGATGTGACCCTTAAATGAGATAAAAATGTATTGAAATGAGAATTTGAAAAGCGACTGAAAGATGTACAAAATAAAATTAAGCAGTATCATCTCATATGAATTAAAAATGCATGCATAGGAGACAGAATAGGTAAATGTATGTTTATAATATACATGAAAGTATTCACAATGGTAATCTCTGTAGTCGAAATACAGTTTATTTTGCCATTTTTGCTTGTTTTTATTTTTAAATTTTCAACAATGCATATGAATAGCTTCTGTAATAGCAAAAAATATGAAGTAAGGAAAGAAATCCTTTCTTGCAAAAAAAAACTTCTTTCACGATTTTTTCCATTTATGGTACGTTGGAGTTAAAACTTAAAACAGAAAGAGTATGGGCCAGGCACAGTGACTCATGCCTGTAATCTCAACATTTTAGGAGGCTAAGGTGGGAGGATCACTTGAGGCCAGGAACTGGAGACCAGCCTCGGCAACATAGAGAGACCCCATCTCTACAAAATATTTTTAAAATTAGCTGGGCGTGGTGGTGTGCATCTGTAATCTCAGCTATTCAGGAGGGTAAGGCAGGAGGCTCTCTTGAGCCCAGGAGGTTGAGGCTGCAGTAAGCCATGATCACACCACTGCACTCCAGCCAGGGCAACAGAGAGAGACCCTGTCTTTTTTCAGGGCTTCCATAAGTACCTAGTACTTCATATTAGAATGGAGTTATATTCAGCACTATTTCTTTCTTCTTTTTTTTTTTTGCCAAACTAAGTCAGATGATGTAATTCCATTTTGGCATCTTATTACTGAAATCATTCATTCAGTTGCCAACAAACATAGCTGGTGCTTTAGGTGTGGACCACTCGAAGCCCTCTTTTGTAACAAATAGACAAGTCCAGAGAGCTATGGTCTCTGATCTATCTTACCCATTGTCAAAGCACCATCACTTAGGCAAAGCCAGAAAATGTAGTCATCCAGTTATTACAGTGTG
Source organism: Homo sapiens (assembly GCF_000001405.40). NCBI lineage: Eukaryota > Metazoa > Chordata > Mammalia > Primates > Hominidae > Homo > Homo sapiens. The sequence goes on along the minus strand of NC_000006.12, from coordinate 164,325,879 downwards.
CAGTGACAGCAGTGTCAACTGACAGCATAAAACCGACAAGTACCCTCCACACACAGAAAGTACCAAGCCTACAATGTCTTCCCATTACAGCAACGATAAAATCCATAATTTTTACCATGACCTACAAAGCTCTGTCTTCCCTCTACCCAGTATGATCTCTCAGAACTTCGGTGGCTGAATCCTTCTCGTTATTCATGTCTCAGCTCAAAAGTCATATCCTTAAGGATAAAGTTACGACAATCCATCCTCCATTCCCTCTCTATCCCCAGTTTTCTATTTTCTGCATATTTCATCAGGACCTAAAACTGTATCATCAATAATTTATTTTGTATGCATTTGTTTGTTACTACTTTGGTAGTGTTTCTGCTCTTTCCTGCTCTCTGAGGACAGGACATGGGCTCTCTCCTGCCCTGTGATAAATTTCTTATACAGTGTTTGGCACATAGTAGTTGCCTAATAAGTTTTTGTCAAATGAGTGAATCAATGCTATAGATACCCTGATACAGATAAATATGCTGACTGTAGTAATAACTGTAATATATACACAACAATATATACAAACATTATATATAATAGTATAGAAATACATATACACGCACCAAATATATATATGCCAAAATTGTAAATGTATGTATGCACATATATATACACCACAATATTTCATTGTATTGTATATGTATATACAATGAAATATTAGAGTACAATGAAATATTAGAGTACAATGAAATGTAGAGTTAGATATTGTATTGTACACTGAACATTTGTATATGTGTATACAATGAAATATTATTGAGTCTTAGAAAAGGATGGCTGGGCCCAGTGACTCATGCCTGTAATCCCAGCACTTTGGGAGGCTGAGGCAAGTGGATCACCTGAGGCCAGGAGTTCAAGACCAGCCTGACCAACGTGGAGAAATCCCATCTCCACTAAAAAAATACAAAATTAGCTGGGCATGGTGGCGCATACCTGTAATCCCAACTACTCGGGAGGCTGAGGCGGGAGAATTGCATGAACCCGGGAGATGGAGGTTGCAGTGAGCTGAGATCATGCCATTGCACTCCAGCTTGGGCAACAAGAGCGAAACTCCATCTCAAAAAACAAAACAAAAAAAAGGAGTCACTGCCATTTCTGACAACATGAATGAATCTGGAAGACATGTATAAATATGTTGTGTGTGTGTAGATGATAGATAGATAGATAGATAGATAGATAGATAGATAGATAGATAATGAATACACGCACAATTTCAGTTTATATATACACACCAAAATTGTTTTATTCATTTATTCATTGATGAATTGGTTGTTTCCATATCTTGGAAATTGTTTCTTCTATATATTGGCATAGGTTATTTCTGTGTCTGGTTTATGATCTCACTTATATGTGGAATCCAAAAAATGTCAAATAGATAGAAATAGAGAGTAGAATTGTGGTTACCAGGGGCAGGGAGTGGAAGGAAATGGGGAGATGTAGGTCAAAAGCTACAAACTTGCATTGTATAGGATGAATAAGTCTAGAGAGCTAATGCACAGCATTGAGGACTAGAGTTAAATATTGTATTGTACACTGAACATTTGTAGAGTTAAATATTGTATTGTATATTGAACATTTGCAAGGACAGTAGATTTTAAGTACCCTTAACCACAAAAAAGATGACTGCATGAAGTGATGAATATGTTACTTTGCTTGACTGTAGTAATTATGTGGGTGTGTGTATATATATATATATATATATATATATATATATATATACACACATACATATGCATATGTATTTCAAAACATCATAATGTAAACCTTAAATGTATATAAAAATAACTAATTAAAAAGAAGACACTGGAAAAATATCCTCAATAAAAAACCCCACAACTCACAGCAAATATTTGAAAATACGACCAAATTTTAAAATAAAATGTGAAATATTTAGCCAGGTACAGTGGCTCACACCTATAATCCCAGCATTTTGGGAGGCCAAAGCAGGAAGATTGCTTGAGACAAGGAATTCGAGACTAGTCTGGACAACATTACAAGACCCTGTCTCTTCAAAAAATTGAGAAAATTAGCCAGGTGTGGTGGCACACACCTGTAGTCCCAGCTACATGGGAGGCTGGGACAAGAGGCTTGCTTGAGCCTGAGAGATCAAGGTTGCACCAAGCTGGGATTGTGCCACTGGACTCCAGCCTGGATGGCAAAGCAAGACCCTATCTCTAAAATCTAAAAAGAATTAAAAGTAATAATATAACATATTTTTCTCTAGTGTCTTGAAAAGATTAAAAATTTGACAGACTGGAGTTGCCAAGTATTAATAATGGGTACGTTTATCTTATAGTGAAGGAGTGCAAATTGATATAAACTTTCTGATGAGAAAATTTGAAAAAATGTATTAAGATATAAAATGTTCAGCAATCACATTTCTGGGGCATCTTGTGGAAAAAAAGATCACAAATGGAAATCATTGTAGACAGAAAGATATCCATGATTGTTTTCATAATTGTGAAAAATGTACAGCAAACCATATTTCATCAATGTGAAATTGGTTTATGTGAAACACAGCACAGATATAAAATGGAATAGTATGCAGTCAGTGAAATGCTGATGCAGACGAATTGACAGTGGTTATTTCTGGTGGTGGAATTTCAAGCTTTTTTTTTAACTTTCTTTACACATGCTGAGATGATTGAATTTTTATACTTAACATTTATATTCTAAAAAATAAAAGCTTTACAAAAATCATACTTTTAATAACCATTCAAAGGCTATATCATATTATACTAAATATAGCAGCCAACAGTCCAATATATTGCTCAATGACTTACAAAATAATGGAGATCCTCACTTTGCTAGCTCTTCAAATGTGGATGTAGCCTTAACCTTGAATTAATTGAATGTTAGAATGTAATCTGTGTGTATTCCATAAGGCTAATATGAATTTTATGCCTGCTATTCAGAGTTGTAGTTTCTTTTATTGTGCTTTTGGCAGTCTAAGCAATAATTATAGATATCTCTTATAAAAACCTCTGAACTCCTGCCTGGATTTATAATACTATTCATGTTGATCTGGAATTCTTTTGAATAGCTTTGTACATGATTAACCGGAATAACAAATGAGTCATCGCATAACACACAGTGCAGAAATGAGGCTGTATCTTTTCAGGAACAAGTAGTCCCTATTGCCTTATGATCTGGGGATAGCTACTTAGCCTCTAGACTCATACTCAGTTTCAAAACAAGAATGTTTAACTCGTGTCAAAAAGCTAAGGGTGTTTTGTTCATAACTTTTTTCTTGTGAATGATTTGAGTTTCGACAGAGCTGAATGAACAGCAACATAGTGAATGTTGACCCTGAGATACCAAAAAATCCACATTCAACAGTAGATTTATAACCAGCTTGTCTTCGAATTTTAAAGACTGTAAATAAGGCCGGGCACAGTGGCTCATGCCTGTAATCCCAGCACTTTGGGAGGCTGAGGCGGGTGTATCACGAGGTCAGGAGTTTGAGACCAGCCTGGCCAATATGTTGAAATCCCATCTCTACTAAAAATACAAAAATTAGACGGGCGTGGTGGCGCACGCCTGTAGTTCCAGCTACTCGGAAGCCTGAGGCAGAAGAATCACTTGAACTTGGGAGGCAGAGGTTGCAGTAAGCCAAGATTGCACCACTGCACTCCAGCCTGGGCGACAGAGCAAGACTCTGTCTCAAAAAAACAACAAAAAAAAAAAGACTATAAATAAGGTATATTCAATATAAATCATTGAGCAAGTTTATTTTTGTTTCCTCATCTTGGGGAAATTTGTTAGCTTTTCTGGATAATTCTCAAAGATCCTATGTAGCTATTTTGTCTTACTGCAAAATACCATTATAGTTTAGCCATATGAAAAGTATAGTTTTAATAAAATCCTCTTCAACAATATTGCTAAAACCTTGCTTCCTTTTTTTAGTGCCAATGAGTCAGTTACTGTGTATTATTTCATCAGTGTGTTTTAACACTATTTGATAAAATTTAGACTCATGAAAAATCACGTAGTTCTTACATTCATCCACCATCTGAATTTAGAAGACATAAAAGCTAAACACTAAGTAAGAATCAATCAGAAATTAATATTAATTATCTTCCACATTCATCCAACTGATTCAAATGGATTAATTTCAATGAACTTCCCATTCAGAAGGTTCACGGATGTCTCTTTCATTCATTCTCTTCTGGTTTTACAATTGATCACAATTTCCTTTTGGCCGTTTTGCCAACCAGGTAACATTTCTTGAGAAAAACCTTTCCTTGGCCTTGGTGTTTCTTCAACTGTACCATCTCATGTCATTCATCTCCTGGAAATGCCAAAGAGAAATAATGAATGCTTCCGTTTCCTCACCCCTCTCTGTCAGATGATTAATGCACTCGTAAAGATTAAGTATCATGGTATAGTCTTACCTTTTTTGTTGGAGCTCTCTCTTAAAAGGCTGTTAGTCTGCAGCAAGTCTCTTGTAGTTTTCTTCCACTCTAGTTTCTTTAACACACACCCCCTGGGTTACTTAAGTTTTCTCTGTTTACTTAGCTTCTTTCGCTCTTTTTTTCTGCCTTTGCTTCTTCCTACTCACCCACTAAAGGCATCGATCTCCCCAGACTGAATCCCAGAAACATGCTTTCCAATTCCGTTGTTATCAGCCTTTCCCCAGTTTTTCAAACATTAACTATTACCTACTCCTCTGACTTGCGTGTTTTATTTTTTCATCATGGACTGTTACCAACTATTTCTCCATTGTATCTTTCATGTATTTTATTTTCCATTTCTATAGCCACTAACAGCATTTGTTCATTTATAGGCTTGTACAGAGTTCTAATCATACTAACAATACATTTCATAAAGCTCCAGATTGCTACGTCTCTTCTTCTGAGGCACTTCACAGTCATCTGCTATGAAAGCTCTATGAATATGAGAAAGAAAAACTCTCAATAGTTGAAGTTTACTGAAAATAAATTAAACCCTCTAGTATCAATTATTTTTTAACAAACTCTTTCAAATTCTGGTACCATCTTTTTTTTCAGCAGATACTCTGTACTTCAGCCAAGACACTTTATGGAACAACAATATTAAATTACGCCATCCCCATTCCTAATAGGGGTGTAATTTAAAAATACTGGTCTGGAAAATAGTTGGTCTTACCCTCTACCATCTAACAACTTTAACTCCTTTTGGAAACTAATTTGTCCATAAATAAAATTTATTTCTATTAAAGGTATTGTTGGGAATTTGCATGCACAAGATACTGTGTTTTCAGGGACACAAAAAATACGAATGACAAAAATATTACTATATATGATAGAATTGGATGCTAATAAATGTTGCTATGAAAAAAATATAACTACCAGCTACACCATGTGTTACTAGGAAGACCAGGCACAGGGAAATCCTTCCTAACCCTCAGACATCATGGTACACATAGAAAATAATCATATCATTTCTATTTAATATTACATATTGGTGTCAATGGAAGAGACTGCACATGACCAGAGGTGACCAGCCTGGGAGTTCCAGCAAATCACCCTGCTTCTGGTCACCCAAAGCTGAGGTGATCGATATGTGGAGCCCAGTTGTAGTTACTCAACACACTTCTGCACAACCCACTGCTAACTGGAAAGCTCTGGTGCCGGAGTCCTCAGAAGAATTAATACCATTCCCTTTGGGTAATCATGGAATTAAGATTTGAAAAGCCATTGAAGTAATTTTGTTTTTTATCCTTTTAAGTGCCATAGAAGGAGGATAAACCCTCTGGTGAGTAAATATTCAGAGTAAATAAAAAGCAAATTATGTTGGCAAAGAAGGGAGTAATTTTCTGGATTAAGGAAGATTTGGTTGCTATTTGCTCATAGCTAGTTATGTTGAATACTTTATGCCTTCCTAGAAATTTTACATTTAACCTTTTATCTTTAACTTTTATTTTAAAATATTACATAAGGTCGATAATTAATTTTTTTCATTCCCTTTACCCTATTTACTCTGTTTTTCAGCACCTAAAAAGTGAACTGCCATATAATCCAGCAATCCCACTGCTGAGTATATACCCAAAAGAAAGAAAATCAGTAAATCAAACAGATACCTGCACTTTGATGTTTGTTGCAGCACAGTTTACATAGCTAAGATTTGGAAGCAACCTAAGTGTTCATCAACAGATGAATGGATAAAGAAAATGTGGTACATAGACACAACAGAGCATTATTGGGTATTTTCCATTTGTATTTACTCAGAATTAAAAGGCAAATAAAATGTTGACCAAAGACAAGAATTGAAGAGCTGAACATAGTTTTGGCAACTCTATAGCAAACAATTAGATGCACGAATGAAAGAATAAATGAATGAATAATGAAAGAATAATCTTAAAAAGAAGGTTTTTATTTAGAAGAGCCAAGCTTTGATGAAATATGAAAAAAGTTGTGAGTTTTGGTAAGAAAAGGCTTACAAAACTGCGCAGGACGTTAATATTATAAGCCATAGAGTAAGAAAAAAACGTGATTATGTGACAGCCATCTTCTGCCTAAAGGGTAATAAGAGTTTCCTTTATTCAATAACAGAAAGAACAAGATAGGAGGGGGTGTGTCTAAGGCTGATCACAGTCTGGTTTCCAGTTCTTCACATTCCTAGGCCCTAACTCCAAAGTAGAGTTGGGGGAAGAGCATTATAAATATGCTAATATAAATTTAGGTTAAATTAGTACAGTCATTATGGAAAACACCATGAAATCTCCTCAAAAAATTAAAACTACAACCAACATATCATCCAGTAATCTCAGTAGTGGGTTTATTGCCAAAGAATATGAAATCAGTCTGTAGAAGAGATATCTGTACTCCCATGTTTGTTACAAAATTATTCACAATACTTAAGATACCGAATTAACCTAGGTGACCATCAAGGGCTAACCAGAAAATGTGGTACGTATACACAGTGGAGTACTGTCATTTGTGACAACAAGGATGGAAGTGGGTACATTATATTAAGTGAAAAAGCCAGCCACATGAAGACAAATAACACATAATCTCACATATATGTAGAATCAAAAAACATTGAACTCATAAAAACAGAGAGTAAAATGGTGGTTACAGAGGCTAGGGGTGGGAAGATTAGGAAGATGTTGGTCAAAGGACACAAAATTTCAGTAAGACAGGAGGAGTAAGTTCAAGAGATCCCTTGTACATCATGGTGACTACAGTTAATAACAATGTATTGTGTATCTGAAAACGGTGGAGAGAGTAGATTTTGTGTTCTAACACACAAAAAATGATAAGTATGCGAAGTGATCGCCAGTCCACAATGTGTACATATATGGACGCATTATGCTGTACATCATAAATACATAGAGTTTTTACTTGCCAATTTATACACTAATTTAAAAAAGAAAGATAGGTAGAAATATTGTCTTCCTCCAGAGCAAAGTGCAGGCATGCTTACCTCCCACGAAAGATTTAAGATTCCAGGTCTCCCCTCCTCTAATGCAGTCTCTGGCTTGTGCAATGTCACCTGTCTCTTCACTTCACCCTATTAAAACTGCAGCTTGGGAAACTGGTACAAAAAATGCTATTGCTATTGCTATGAATAATAAAGTCCTTTGTCTCTGGACTAGAAATCTCATGTCTTCTATCAGCATCTGTGAAACCGGGGAAGGATAATTTGTTAGCATACATTACCCTGAGGCTGCTTTTTCTTTCACCTGAGAAATAAGAGATTGTGTTTCTTTCTTTATACAGTTGTTGTGGTGATGAAAGAAGATAACATAAAAACAGAAAAATGGCGAAGAGCACAGATTCCACAGCCTAATGTCCTGAGTTTAAATTCCTACTCTGCCATTTACCAGGTAAACATCTCTGGGCAAGTCACTTTTTATCTCTGTGCCTTAAGTTACTCATAAAATGTTAAATGTGGTTTGGTAATAATACTACCAACTTTACAGTGTTCTGAGTATAAAATATTCTGTTGGCTGGCATGTAATATGCATTGTGTTGATGTTTGCTATACTGCATTGAGCAAAGACGTTTGTACTAGCTGGTGTACAGTAAATGACAGACTTTAGTAGGTAAATAGATAGATACACACATGCATACATAAATACATAGACAATGTTGGTTTACAAAGTAGATTACTTCTGGCCATAGATATTTATGTAGAAAATTTGATGTTTGAATTACCTAATGAATGATAGATATAACTTATACGTATGTAGAGAAGAGGATGCCTGTGCAGTCCAAAAAATACTCTAGCACAGAAAGAACATTTTGAACAAGTAGGGGCAATAGCAAGTTGCATCTACTGTGCGTTTTTTGCCTTCCTTTCATTTTAAGTTCAATGTAAAGCACACAGTAGGTGTTCATTAATGTTATTGGCTACCCAGAAAATTAAGGTCTTTAAATAATTATCATTCCTGGTAACTCTTTTTAAGTTAGAATTTAATATGAATGATTTCTTTGTGCATTGATTTTTGTAAGATCTTCCAACTCCAATGGCTGATGAGGCAGCACTCCACTGCTATTTAAGGCCAAACAGCAGAGCTTCAAACAGTACTTCTTTAAATGCAAATGTGTAATTATTCTCTCTCTTCAGTCCATTGGATTCAGTGGTTTATTGGGCATTTTCTCTGTTGCATTGATTTGGCACTAATGATGTGCTTCAAACTAAGAGCTGGAGTCTTCTACTTTTCTCTGAGAGAACATAGTGATAATCTTAGTTTTTCTGTAATCCACTTCATTTGTTATTTGCATTTCTATTTTTTGTTCCAGTTTTATGTTATGAACATCAGGTGGTAGCCACAACGAAGAAATACATTTTCTGGCAGCTGTGAATGTTATCCTTCCCTAAAGAAATTAAACCATCTGGGTATTTTTCCAAGTGCATTGAATTTATTGTAAAAAAATATATATATATATAAGATGCATAGAAGAGTAAAGGAAGATGCTTTTATAACACATTTAAAATTGATGGCAATTTTAACAATCTAATTTTCTATAATGGGTGTAAAGAACTTTTTCATATTTGCCTTTCCAATTTGTTTTCTCCGCTCCTCTGTTTGAAGATTGGAACAATCTGTATAATTCTACAAAAAAAAAAAAAAGTTTACAAGTAGGATATACTGTAATCATGAAACCTATACTGCCCTGGTAGAATCAGATAGTTTTGTAAGACCCTGCTGTCTTATTTGATTAATCTCAGCTCTGTAGCTAATGGTGTATATGTGTTCCAGCTTTATCCATTGGAATGGCAATGGTAGAATAACAAATAACTATGTTCATAAGAGAGGTGAGACTGCCAACTACATAAAAGTGTGCCAGGCAGCACTGACATTTATAATGCGGATGCTCCCAGTGTAGCATTGCTGCCTTAGCCCGTAGTTTAATGGAAGGTATTGCTGTGTTCCGTACACATAGTAAATTGCATGGAATGACGTCAAAAGACTCCATCCACTGTGCTCTTTCACCTTATGCAAGCTTCAGACCCTTTTGGCTAGGAGGAAAGGAGTAGACCCTTTTGGCTAGGAGGAAAGCTTGATTTTTTTAGCTAATTCACCCTGAAATTCCCAAGTGCTATGATTTGTCCAGCAAAGTTGGCTCAGTACATGTCTTGTACTTTAGTAAGTGAGACAAGTCTACATACTGGGTATTCTGGAAGTGATTCACCCTATGTGGGGCTACTGACTGGCAGAGGGAGTAGAGATAGTGCTGGGTGCAGGACAGTTCTCTGGGTAGCCTTGGACCAACTAGTCTTCCCCATTTATTCTCGAGAATAATGTAGAATGTGCTGAGAATGCAACATCCTGAGACAAGGAAGAACTGACCAGAACAGCCAGGGCTCTGTTCCAGTCACCCCTAGAAACAAAATATCCTTCTGTGCTTCAGCCTAGCATGTCACGTTGTTCCTGGTATATAAAATCTATGGTGGGCTGCTTTCTGGGGGTCCCTCAGCTATGGTGCAAGTGGGGCATGTGCAGAGATTCTGTCCTTCCTGGGCAGCTTTCCTGGGACTTGGAAGACCAGCTCACCATGAATGCAATGCTTCTGCTGTCCCTTGCTGCCTATCTGTAAGTGCTGTTCATATGACATGTATGTGAGGGCGCTCAGCCTTACCAGACTCAAACAAGCAGATAATCAGTGCACAGTGAATCTGCTTCACACTGGGCAGGAAAATAAAATAGCTTTCTTCAGCTGGAACATCACTGGCATTTGGGGCAAGATAAATTTCCATTGTAAAGAACTGCCCTGCACACTCCAGGAGTGGCAGCATTTCTGACCTTCATCACTACATGCCAGCAGCGACAGCCAGAACATGCACTCACATATTTACAAGCCTTTCCCTTGTGCGAGGTGGTGGTATTGTACCTGAATGAGAACCACTGGGTCTAGGCTGATCTCACCTCCCAGCACCAACACACATTCCTTAAAGCATTTGCAGCTATGCCCTAGAGCACAAGGAAGAAGATGACCAAACCAGATAAGATCAAGTCTATAAGGATCAATTTCATCTAGACATTTTTGGCACTTTCATTTCTTTAAAAGTATGATTTTTTTTTACACTAAAAGGGGTGCCCTAACATTTTAAGGTCAGGTTCTAAGTAATATACTTCACATCCAGGGCCAGTTGTATAATGTGCAGGGCCCAGTGTAAACTGAAAATAAGAAGCCTCTTGTTCAAAAAACCCAAGAAGAAAATGCAATTAAATGTGCTAAAATGTAAAGATTTTTTTCAAAATGTTGTATTACTTTTAAAAGAGAATAATAGTGAGACATGAATGCAAGTTGCAAAAAAAAAATGTGGGTTGTCATAGTTTTATATAATACAAAAATGTTTTACTAATGCAATACCTTAATAGATAATAAGTTTTTTCTGGCTTGCTTTTCTGCAAATGCATTTATTAGGTCATCAAGATTTATACTTTTGGCAACATCATGAAAATGCCAGCCAATTGCCACTTTTATTACTCTCATTTTACAAAGCCTTTAAAGAAATTGGATGTCTGACGCATAGTTGGTATTGATGAAATACAACGTATGCAAGATAGAACTGATTTTCATAGAGGTCCCTGGCTCTCATTTTATTAAAATTCCATTATTTAACTATGTTACCCAAGTAGAAATTTGAGCACCACCTTCCAAATACTACACAGATGAGTCTAGTATGAGCAGATGAGCTTCCTTACTGAAAATATGTATGAGAAATTCTATCATTTAATCGAAAGCAACACTAGAAGCTTTTGGCAAATGCAAAATTACAAATACTCACTGAAAATTTTATATTTTGAGAAGGATCAGTATGTTGATATAGCTGTTACTAGAGCTGTTAAGAGTATTTTATAGACTGACAACACTGGGAGAAAGTTCTGATAAATTATTTTAAAATATAAATTTTAGTACATCTAGAAATGAAGATTCTCATAGAACAACTTTTCTAAAACGTTAATTTTTCATGCATATCAGTTTCATGTAAGTCTGAGCTTAATTTTAAATGTAAATGTATGCAACAGCATTTTAGCATTTTGTCAGACATTTTCTGTAACTTGCCCTGTAACTTGTGACTCCATGTCACTGTAACTTGTGACTCCATGAGTTGCACATAATTCAAAATGGTTTTATGCATTCAATTGCTGTATCTTCAATCATGAAGAAAAATTAAATTTACAATTGTCTTCATTAATAATCGGTCCATCTGAATCTTCATACGAAAAGTGTTCTTTTCCATTGAATGCAACAATCTTTAAATTTAAGCAATATTTCTAAGAAATTTAATTTCTAAAATTAAATTTACAATTGTCTTCATTAATAATCGGTCCATCTGAATCTTCATACGAAAAGTGTTCTTTTCCATTGAATGCAACAATCTTTAAATTTAAGCAATATTTCTAAGCCTGTGAATATTTGCTTTCCAATATTGCAGCAGTTTTTGAATCCAGAGATTTTAAACTCTTTGACTGATTCTAATAACTCCTTAATATGCTATATTGAAATGTCCATGTATATATTTTTTATTGAGACAAAACTCATAAACCAAAAAATTTGCTCTTTTAAAGTGTACAATTCAGTGGTTTTTGGTATATTTACAAGGTTTGGCACCCATCACCACTGTCTAATTCCTAATTATTTTCATCATACCATCAGCATTCACTTCCCATTCTGTCCACCCTCAAGTCCTTGGTGACCAATAATCCACATTCTATTTTCATAGATTTGCCTATTCTGGACATTTAATTTTAATGGGTTTATAAAATATGTAGCCTTTTGGGTATGGCTGCATTCTCTTATAATAATGTTTTAAAGGGTTATTCAGTGTGGCATACGTATATTCTTCATTGCTTTTTATGGCCAGATAATATTCTGTGTATGGATATACCACATTTTAAAATCTATTTATCAGATAATAGCAATTTGGATTGTTTCTACTTTTTTCACTACTATGAATAATACTGCTATGAATATTCAGGTGACAGTTTTTATGCAAACATATTTTTTGTTCAGTTATTTGGGATATATGCCTAAAAGTAGAATGGCTAGGTTATATTGTAATTCTAATTTAACTTTAGAGAAAATGCCAAACTGTTTCCAAACAGGCTGCGTCATTTTAACATTCCCACCAGTTATGTAGGAGGCATCCATTATACACATCCTCTGTCCATCTTTTATTATAGTCATCCTAAT